>NC_000003.12:129614664-129766180 GCF_000001405.40 Homo sapiens
CACACTCCACACTGGCACAATCCCAACCGCTCTAGGATGGGGCAGTGGAGGGGCCCTCACCCATACGGTCACACACAGGGCGTACAGGAGAGGCTGGCATGGGTGAGCAGGGTCCCGGAATACTGTGGTCTTACTGGTCTGATGGCCTACATGAGCCCCTAGAGAGAACCCAGTGTCCAGAAAAGGTGTTTCCTCTCTTGTTTTCTGAGTGAACTTTTTGTATCCCTCAAGACCCAACCCAATTTCACCTTCTCTGGAAAGTCTTTCCTAGTGAACTCCTAGGCCTCCCTCAAGACCTAGTCTAAAGACCTTCTGAGAAGACTTCCTTGAGCCTCAAAGCAGTATTAGGAGTTCCTCCACCCACTTAGAGCTCCTCCTATCAAACCTCATATCACCCAGTGCGAGGGCACGTGACTTCCCCAGTGCACTGGGAGCGCTTCCAGGGTGGAACACACGATCACTACTAATAAATGTTGGGCTGGGCAGATGGCTGCCAGCACCACCCCAGGACATGCCCCCCCAGCAGGCAGGATGGTCATGTTGGCTGCTGGAGACCCCCTCCCTGGGCAGTGCCAGGCAGATGCTGCCAAAGCGACCTCCCTGTCCCCACTGTCCATTGGCCCTACTGACTGCCCCTCATAAGAGCAGGCCACATCAGCCCTCCTGCACCTCCTGCCTCATCTGGGACACCCACTGGCCCTCAAGGTGACCGTTCACACCTGATTCCTGGTGGAGTTCTGAGGGTCCTGTCCCTCATCTCATGACACACAAGCAAAACCCTGGGCGGAATAGAACACTGAGGGTCATTCTTCTCCCTCCCTCCCTCCCTCCCTCCCTTCTTCCTTCCTTTCTCCTTCCTTCAGAAAGAACCCTTAACTAAGCACCTACTATGTGCCAGGCACTGGGATATCATAGTGAGCCCACAAGCATGGTCCTTGTCTTCAGCCCTACCCCAGGGGGCAAATAATCTTTAACCAAATAACTCAAATAATTACACAACCACAAAGAGCCACCCATCTTACAAAGGAGCCATACCAGGTGGTTCTGGAAAAGTTTCTCCCAAGGGGACTCCAGCCCATCTTCCTCGGGCCCCTGGGGCTGAGATCTGCAGGATGCAGCAGAGTCAGGAGGGTGAAGAGAGCCTTCCAGGCAGGGCACAGCAAGGGCGGAGCCCTGGAGGACAGAGGCCCGTGTGGGCAGAGCAGAGGAGGGTGAGAGGCGAGCAGAGGAGGGTGAGAGGCCAGCAGCAGGCTGGTGGAGGATCCAGGGCTCGTTCTTGGGGGTGTTAACTTTGAGAGGGTCCCAACCACCAGCCCAGCCTCTGGGCACAGGGGCTCCACTGGGTGCGGGTTCCCCTTGGCAGCCACCACAGGGATTGTTTATCTGTGCACGCTCACAGAAGTGGAAGCTGCCACCCCAGGCTGATGGCTCTGAAGGGGGAAGAACCTTCCCAGAGCTGTCCAGGAAGGGCAGGGGCCACAGCACATGGGCCGCAGCACACTGGCCCAGCTCCCAGCCACCAAGAGAGAGGCATTAGGGGTCCCGCCCTGTAGTGAGCTTCTTGCACAGCCTGTACCAGCCTGTGAAAGCCCCTGTCTCAGGGATACCCCATTGTGTGTGTGCATGTGGGCATGAGGGGGTGGTCTGTGCAAAGATGGGGTGCCGTGCATGTGAGGAGGGGTATAATGTGTGTTCGTGTGCATGGGGTGCATATTGGGGTCACATGCACACACATGGGAATTCCTGGTATGTGGTGGAGGTGGCTGTACAAGCCAAGGTCTGCATGGGCAACAGGCTGATGGAGTGGACTTGCACGAGGGCTGTGGCTGGGAGCCAAGGCCTGCCGGGGCCCAGGGTCTGTGGTTCACGCTGGGGATTTGGGCCTTGGAGGCTATCGGGACCTTTTCTGTCAGGGCCTCTGACAGGTCCTGATGCCCTGTGGCTGAATGAGGGCTTCTTCATGAAACATGCGATTTTATAGTCAATCTCCAAGAGCCAGATCTCTGCTTTGGAGGCCTCGGCCTGACCTTGGGTGGCCCTGGATGATCCAGTCTCTGATCTGAGGTGGTCTAGCCTCCAACCTTGAGTGGTCCAGCTTCTGGCCTTGGGGGGATCAGCCCTTAAGCTAGGGCAGCCCAGCCTGTGAGTAACACTCACTCTGGATTTCCCTGGCCAGAGTCCTCTCTGCGGAGGAACTTGGGACCAGTTCTTTAGGGAGTTTTGGGTGACATCATCCCTCCTTACTCAAGAGCAGCCTTACGAGAACGACAGCTGGGTATCTCGGGATGAGCCACCCTCTTTCCCCTGTGGCTTCCCCTGTGACTTCCCCACTCCTACTTAGACTCTGAGTCCTGAAGGCCCAGAAGTCCCCGAGTCCCCTTGTCAGTGTGGGATTCAGTCCTACCAGGCCCCTGAACTTCCCTCCTGCCTTCTCCCCCTGGATAAGTCTCCTGGTGTCTCCAAGATTTGGATCTGGCTGCTCCTCTTCCAGGCAGCCTTCTCAGCTCTCACAGGCTGGGTTAGGCTTCCTCCTCCTCTACCCCCACAGTACCCTGGACTCCCACCATCCAAGCACCCACACCAGGTGATGCTGTCTCTGTTGCTCTGGCTCCTCTGCCAACCAGGAGGCATCTGAAGAGCTAAGTCTTTTGGGAACATACCTATGTCCCCCCATCACTAGGCAGAAGGTTAAACTCTAAGCAGGCTCACGAGAGTGAATGAACACATGAAGGAACAAATGAGAGAGGAGATGAATGAACGTCCTCCCAACATCTTCTGGGCTGGTGCCCACTCCTGTGTAGCCTCCAGGGCAGCCAACGGGGAGGCAGCTTTGACCTTCTCCCCTGGCCTCCTGCGGTATCCCCACCTGCCACTCACCCACCTGTCAGGGAAGGTGGCTACCCACACCCTGGCCCGAGAAGGGTTTGTGTCTCTAAAATACAGGTTTTCCAGGGAGGACGTGACTTAGCTGGGATGAGATGTACAGGACAGTCATGCCAGTCTCACCTCCATTCCCCCAGCTCACAGCCCCTGGCGGGCAGGAGGAGGCACTTTGGGGTCCCCATGCAACATAGGAGGCTGTGGAGCCAGAAGGATCTGGGTTCAAATCCAGCTTTGCCCCTCTGCACGGTGGGACCTTGGACAGAGCCTTTTTCCCATCTGCAAGTCTGGGGTGAGGCTGCACCTTGGCGGCTCACAGGAGCCCAGTCATCCCTGGCACAGCCCCCAGGGCATGGCTGAATCAAGACTACGAGGTCTGAGGTGGAAACATACTTTTGGAGTCAATGCAGCTAATGCTTCCTGAGGCCACTGTGAGGACCCTGACAGGCACCCTCAGTGAGATGGGGGCCGAGGAGGGTGCTGGGCTGGGAGCTGTTGTCTCAGCACATGGCGGGAGATGCTGTGGGAGGGGGAGGCAGAGGCAGGAGACCCCAGGGAAGGCAGGTGAGACAACCATGAGGGTGGTCAGGCAGAGGAGGGCATCCTTTCACCAACAAGTCCTGCGGCCTTGGGGGTGGCAGCTCCTGGGGCCTTCTGAGCCCACGTCAGTGTCTTCCTCGATCCCTTGTAAGTTGTAGATGGTGTTCTGTCACCCGCGGCCTGCCGCCCACCCCAATGTGTGTCCCCCAAAATGTGAATGGGGGGCTGTGGCAGTGGCAGGGCTAGAGGCTCAAATGCAAGTAAGTGTCCTAAACCGAGGCTGAGATCCCCCACAGTCCCACCCTGCATGTCCCCAGTCCACCACCCCACCCAGCTGCCCAAGGCAGAACCCGGGAGGCACCTGGATGCCCCGTCCCTTCCTCCCACCTGTCCAGAGGTTGCTTCCCAATCACCCCTGCTTAGACTCTGAGTACTAAAGGCCCAGAAGTCCCCGAGTCCCCTAGTCAGTTTGTCCCTTTTAGCCCCAAGACTACTGTACCCGTCTGAGCCGTCACCTCCCGCCTGGACCTCCCCTCCCACTTCCTCTCTCTGCTGCCCTCCTCCCTTCCTCTCCTCAAATCACTTTTCCTGTGGGACATTTTCAAGCTGCAAATCTGGTTGTGTTGTTTTTCTCCAACTTCAAGTCCTGCAAACGCTCTCAGGGTAAAGCCAGGTCCCTTAGCCCAGGTTCCCATCTCCATGGCGGCCCCACCCACTCCAGTCATACCTGCGCTCCTACTGCCTCCCACCAGGCCTTCGTCATTACCGTCCCCCTCGCCTGCGACCACCTGTACTTCCCCCCAGCCCATAAACACCCCATGCATCCGGCTCAGCTCAAGGGTCCTCCGGCTGAGGGCTGCACCCCGCCTGCCCCGGTGGCTCAGCCGTCCTCATGTGCTCTGCACGGCAGCTGTGTCGTTTGATTAACGTCTGCAGATGGCACAGGGCAGGGTCCTCCTCTGTCCCGTCCACCGCTGGGACCTGAGGGCCAGACACTGCAGGCGGATGCTCCTCCACCTGTGAGCACAGGGTGGGGGTAGAGCCCCCGGCCTGTCCCACCATCCAGGGGAGGCTATTTCCAGCTCCCAGAAGTAGGAAGTGAGTCAGAACAGGGGCAGGCGGCCGCCGGCACTATGGGCGAGACGGCTGAGACCTGCACAGAAGGCTGGACCACCACCCAGGGTGGCAGGAAGGAGGCCTAGAGGAAGAGGATAGGAGGGAAGACCCTCTCCCCAGCAAAACAGGCAGCCCTGTGGGGCCCCTGCGGAAGCCGGTTTCGTCAGCACAGATGCAGCCACCAGGCCCATTGTCCTGCCACACCTGGGGCCCACCAGGAACAGCCTCCAGCCCAAACCCTCCAACCCAGTGGACACCCGTCCTGGGCCACTGCACAGGCCGGGCCTGCTGTGATCTCATTCACTGTCCACATGAGCACATGAGCAGAGGCTCTCCCTGGCCCCGTTTTCCAGAAGGCCAAAGAGAGGCCTTGAACCCAGCTCTGTGTGGTCATGGAGATCTCTCTGGCTTCTAAGCCTCAGGGGGTACAGGAGGCCCAGGGGACTCCAAAACTGCTCCAGAGGCAGCCACCACCAAGTCTGGAGCAGGCTCAGGGAAGGGGGCACAGACCTGCCAGGCCAAGGTTCTAGTCCTGGCTCAGTCTCTATCTGAAAACAGGGCCAGCCAGGTTCCCCTTCCCCGCCAGGCCTCAATTTCCCCATCCTCACTCGAGAGGCTTGGCTGGGCAGACTGAGTCAAAGCCAGGGGCTGCCTGGGCAGGGGGCTCAGGGGAGTCTCTGGGGACCAGGGTCCCTCTTCTTCCCTGCATCACAACCCGGGGCTCCAGGGACCCCAAGGATAGAATTGGCCGGGCAGCAGGGGAGCAGCACCCAGGGAGCCTCCATCCCAGAAAAGAGGCGGTGCAGGCCAGCCACGGGCAGCCCAGCTCAGGGGCACCTTCACATCCTCAGCTGGACCCATGTCACCACCACTGCTGCCTCTCCATTCTCACTTCCCTTTTGGTGCCAGAGCTGGGAAACCTCTGCCTCAAAAGGATCTGGGCTTGGATGGGCTGTGCAACTAGATGGGCACCCTGAGGCCTGGCCACCGAGGGTGGGCAGACCCAGGACATGGGGCCAAGGAGAGGCAGGACCACACAGGACAGACCCACAGGAGCATTGTTGGGTTATGACCTCTAGTCTAGGGTAGGGCGGCTGGGGGGTGGTAGAGTTTGTTTTTAAATTTTTAAAAATTTTATGTAGAGACGGGGGTCTCGTGATGTTGCCCAGGCTGGTTTTAAACTCCTGGCCTCAAGTGATCCCCATCCTTGGCCTCTCAAGGTGCTGGGATTATAGGCGTGAGCCACTGCACCCAGCCAGTTTTGAAGTTTTTCTTTTTTTGTGTCTGAATTTTCTAAGTTTTCCTCAAAGAATATGTATTATTTCTGTTAAAAAAAACATGGAGGCAGAACGAGGTGGCACATGCCTGTGGTCCCAGCTACTCAGGAGGCTGAGGTGGGAGGATTGCTTGAGCCCAGAAGGTCCACAGTTCAATGAGCTAT
This sequence comes from Homo sapiens, assembly GCF_000001405.40. Taxonomy (NCBI): domain Eukaryota; kingdom Metazoa; phylum Chordata; class Mammalia; order Primates; family Hominidae; genus Homo; species Homo sapiens. Next base: position 129,620,642 of record NC_000003.12, read on the forward strand.
GATCGCACCACTGCACTCCAGCCTGTGTGACAGAGCGGGACCCTGTCTCCAAAACAAAAAGCAGAGGGGAAAGCGATGGGTTGGGGGACCTGGATTTTTACAGGGAGGTACAGCTGTGACCCCGGGAAACTCTGGCCACTATCTGATGGACATTGGTGTTAGTGTCAGCACATGCTGCAGAATGATGGGGAAGGTAGGGGAAGGGAATACCCTGGTTAGTGTCCCCATCTGCGAGTTACCCTCCACAGTGCAAGGTGCTTATCCCCATCCAGACAGAAGCGTGCAGGTGCTGAAGCAGGAGCTGCCTCCGCCTGCCTCCTCTCACCCACTCTAGCCCCAGTCTCCTCACCAGACCTCAAGGCCATGCATGGGGCTTGGGCATAGGAAGCCCAGGACGGAGCCCTGACCCTTGGGACCTTCTCGTGCCCACCCAATGCTAGGCCCAGTGTGACTGGGGAGGAGCTGAGAGGTTAAATGATAAGCCCCGGAAAAGGCTCTTAGCAGTTGCAGCCACGTGTAATTTACAGCAGGTCTGAATCCCCACTGCCCATAATTCACTTCCATTTGTGTGACCCCAGGCCCCTTGGGGAGGATGCTGGGAGAAGGCAAGAGTTGGGGGTGGCGCTATTTTCAGCACCGGGAGTTGAATGGTGGGGGATGATTGATGCAATCTGTGGGTCTGCTTGTGCTCCTGTGCCCTAGACCCTCCCAGCCACGAGACCCCACCCGCCCAGCACCAACCCCAGTTCCTGCCCTTGCTAAGCAAAGGCCCGCCAGGCCTCACGCCGGGACTGGCCGGGTCAGTTTTGCCGGGCGTTGCTGTTATCCCCATGTATCAGAGAAGGAAATTGAGGCTGACAAGCAAACTCACTGCCCAAGGCCACACAGCCAGAATCATCCGAGTCCAGCCCTGTGGGCTGTCCCACCCACACTCCTTCTGTGCCACTGTCCCCCACCCCCTGGCCCTCCTGTGTAAGTTTGACTCTCCCCTCTGCTTTCTCCGCATCTGCACCTCCCACCCCCAGATGGAGACTCCTGAGCAGGCAGTGAGGACTGCGGAGGGGTCATCACACTAGCGTCCCTTTCCATGCTCGGCTCAGCTGTCCACTAAGGGCCGTCTTCAGCCCGGTGCTGGGTGCTGGCTCAGCAGAGGAGGGGGCCATAAGCCAGTATGCCCAGTGCACAGGGGAAGATGGAATGCAACTTCATGAGAGCAAGAAGAGGCCACCAGCAGTTTAGCCTCGGTGCAGGGAGGTCAGAGAGGGCTTCCTGGAGGAGGTGATGCCTAACCTCAAAGAGGCACCGGAGCTGCCAATGGATGCAGTAGTTCAGGCAGGGAGAGGAGGAAACAGCATGTGCAAAGACCCAGAGGCAGGAAGGAGCACGGCACATCAGTCTTTCGCTACTGCTGGCCCTGCCTTGCCTGACCCCTCCCCTCCCCATCCGTGCCCTCCCTGACCTCCCCCACCCACACCCATCCTCTCCTGCCGGCTCCTCTGCAGACCGGAAGGCGAGGTGGAATCCAGTCCCACAGCTCTCAATGAAGAGAAACTGCTTGGAAGGAAAAAAAAATAACATTAATTTCATTGTCTCCACTCCCAGATCCTGCCTGAAAAACAAAAACAAAAATCAAACCCCAGCTGGGGAGGTTTTATCTGGCTATCTGGCGAGGCTTTCAAGGAGGGGGATTGAACGGTGGACACAGGCCCGGACCCCCGTGGGCGGTGGAGAAAGCAGGCCTGGTTTCCCTGGGTGGTGGAGTGGGCAATCCCTCCATGCTCCTGCCAAATCCCTGCATGCTCCCACCTCCTAGCTCAGCAGGTGCTGGGCGGTCGCTGCTGCTGCTGGGGTGGGACAGCGGTGCTGACCATGCTGTGTGTGGGCGCTCTTCCCTAATAACTTCAGTTAGTTCCCTGCCAGCCCTGGAGGCAGGGTGTTACCCCTTCACAGGCATCAAAGGGTGTGCCTGGTCAGGAGTCCTCAGTCACACAGCAGAGCTGGGATGTGAACCTGGGGTTTTCTGGCCCCAGAGCCCACTAGCTTGCTGGGCTCATGCCACAGTGCACAGGGCTCTAGGGGCAGTTAATGAAGAGGAAACACAGGCAGGGTCAGGCAGGGCCACTCCTTCCCCCGCCCCACACATGCAGCTACGTCTGCTCACACTTCCAGGGACAGGGAGCTCACTCCTCACCGTCAGCCTCACACATATGTCCCCTTGCTGGAAATGTCCACTCCCACCCCCACCCCGGCCAGGTTCCTAATCACTGACCGGGAGACCAGGAGGCTCTAGAATGGTGGGGCAGGACTGGAGGTGAAGACCATGGAACATATGAGCCCCACAACCTCAGCCTTTCCTAGAAAGAAGCTTCCGGCTCCTGCTCAGCCTGGGTGGGGATGAAGGCATCTGTGTGCTAACCACATGCCCCGGAGCCAGCCATTCCCACGGTGGCCCCCATCAATGCCCCACCCTCCTCCTGTCCTTGCCCAGTGCTGGCTCCCTTGGCCTGGGCTTGGGACCCGACACATCCCCATCTGAGATCAGTATCCACGAAGGAGACTCGGTGTGATGCGAGGGCCTGCCATAACCCAGCACTGCACCCAAAATGGCGCCACCTCATCTGCTGGCTCTGCCGACAGCACTATGGGGACTGTGAAGACAGGAGGGAGAAGGGGAAGGAGAACAGGACGGCCACAGGAGGGAAGGAGTAGTCTGGCCCCTTCCAGCACTAAGGTGCCCTGGGGACAGTCCCTTGGGGTGCCTACTGGACCTCAGATAACCTTACTCCCCAAAGCCCCTCACAGCCCTGTGGGCCATATCACCCGTCCTTGGTGCCAGGCCCAGGCAGGGCTTTCCATTGCCCCACAGTCCTCCAGAGGGTGTAATTAGGCCCATTTTACAGATGGGGCACACTAGAGCCCCAGCACTGTGCTGGTGGCTCCAAAAGCAGCAAGGGGTCCCCAGGCCAGGTCCGGCTGACCCCTACGTAGGGACTGGGTGCCTCCCCCTTCCACTTCCCTCCAGGGTTGACCTCAGCAGCTCCTGGTTGGGCTTTTCCCAGAGCCAAGGCCGGAAGCACGAGTCCCGAGTGTTTGTTCAGGCTGGGCTGGGGCTCCGGGCTGGCGAGGCGGAAACAGCCGCAAGATGTTTGTCCAAGGGGGTCAGGCTCCCCCACCGGGAGGAAGGAGGAAGGAGGAAAGGCCGGAGGAGCAGGAGGCCCGAGTCAGCTCTCCCAGCCAGGTTCTCACCTCCAGCCTTGCCTTCCTCACCCCCAGAGGCTGGGCTGCACACAGTAGGCGCTCAGTGGCTGAGGAAGGAGATGTGGTGCTCTCCTCTCCTTCACTCAGCCGGGGCTCAGGCCCCAATCCCAATCGCCCTGGCCTCCTCTTCCTTCTGTCTTAGTCCAAACTGTGTGCCCCCGACAAATTCAAATGTTGAAACCCCCAATACCTCAGGATGAGACTGTATCTGGAGACAGCCTTTAAAGAGTTCATTAAGTTAAAATGAGATGGTATGAGGAGATTAGGGCCAGGTGCGGTGGCTCACGCCTGTGATCCTAGCACTTTGGGAGGCTGATGCAGGAGGATCGCTTGAGCCCAGGAGTTCGAGACCAGCCTAGGCAACACAGTGAGACCCCCCCCACCCGCCCCGCCATCTCTACAAAAAGTTAGCTGGGCATGGAGGCTGCTGCCCGTAGTCTCAGCTACTTAGAGGACCGAGGTGGGAAGATGGCTTGAGCCCAGGAGGTCAAGGCTGCAGTGAGCTGTGGCTGTACCACTTGCACCCTCCAGAACTGAGAGGAAATAGGTTTCTGTTGTTGAGCGATCCAGTCTGTGGCCTCTTGTTACGGCAGCCTAGCAAGCAAACCTCCCCCTGGCCCCGTGACCTCTCCCGCTGTTCTGGAGGCTGCAAGGCCAAGTCCAAGACCAAGGAGTCTGCAGGGTTGGTGTCTGCTGCAGCCTCTCTCCTTGGCTTGCAGATGGTGCCTTCTGGCTGTGTCCTCACATGATCTTCCCTCACTTCCTGCATATCTGAATCCTCAGCTCCACTTCTTTATTTTTTTTTTTTTGAGACAGGGTCTGACTCTGTCACCCAGGCTGGAGTGCAGTGTTGCGATCTCAGCTCACTGCAGCCTCGACTTCCTAGGCTCAAGCCATCCTCCAACCTCAGCCTCCTGAGTAGCTGGGACCCCTGGCAGAGGCACCATCGAGGCTTCCCTTTGGCTCTCCGCTCCAGCAGCACTGGCCTCCTCACTGAGCTTGGTCCAGGACGGTGCTTTTGCTGTGCCTTCTGCCTGTCATGCCCTTTCCAGATCTCCCCAGGGCTGCCGCCTTCTTATCCCTCAGGTTTCTGCTCAAATATCCCCCTCCAAAGAGGCCCTCCCTGACCAAAGTGCCAATCAGGGCTAGTATCCATCTCTCTCACTGGATGGACCTTCACCAGGGCAGGGGATATGTCTCCAGGGCCACAGCAGGGCCCGGCACACAGTAGGTGCACAGTAAAGGTTTGCTGAAGGCAGTCAGGCTCACCTTGGTACTGCCACCCCATCTCCCAAAACACAGGGTCACAGGGTCTCAGAGGCAGAGCAGGGCCTCCAGGGGGGCCCGTGGATGTGGGTGGTCCAACCATGAGGACTGCCTACCTGCTGGGGGCACAGGCTGCAGCCACCCATCCCCTCGGCTTCCCACGCAGCACCTGTGTTCACCGCCCCCTTCCCCATCTGTCTTCCAGTGATTCCTCCAGAGGCTGCTTGTTTGGGAAGAAGGCTAGATGGCTAAGCAGGTAGGACCAGGTGGAAACACAGCCCATCACTTTGGACTTGGGGACTCTGCCAGTGCCTCCCTGCTCCAGTGTCTGAGGAGGACTTGAGCATAGGAAGGTGCGTGCCTGCTCAGTCCTGGGACTCGTGGGGTGGAGCATTCACCTGGGGACTCGTGGGGTAGAGCTGGGGCTGGGACCACTGCCTGCACCTCCATCTGGGAGCAGGATGAGGGAAGGGCAGGAAACCACTGGGAGGCGCTGGGTGGGAGTTCGCTCTTTGCTCAGTCAACCCTGTCTTGAGACAGCCCTACTCCCACTTGAAAGGCTGAGACAGAAAAGACTGACACCACCAAGTGTGGGTGAGGATGTGGAGCCACAGGGGCAGGGGTGAAATGTGAAATGGTGCAGCCACTCTGTAAAACCTTTTGCTAGTTTCTTCAAAAAAAGTCAAATGTGGCTGGACGCGGTGGCTCACGCCTGTAATCCCAGCACTTTGGGAGGCCGAGGCGGGCGGATCACGAGGTCAGGAGATAGAGACCAGCCTGGCTAACACGGTGAAACCCTGTGTCTACTAAAAATACAAAAAAAATTAGCCGGGCGCGGTGGCAGGCGCCTGTAATCCCAGCTACTCAGGAGGCTGAGGCAGGAGAATGGCATGAACCCGGGAGGCGGAGCTTGCAGTGAGCCGAGATTGCGCCACTGCACTCCTGGGACAGACAGAGTGAGACTGTCTCAAAAAAAAAAAAAAAAAAAAAAGTCAAATGTAGACACGTGCATCCTGGCAATCCCACGTCTAGATATTGGAATAAAATTAAAACACAGGTCCATAAAAACCTGTACAGATGCTTGTCACAGCTCCATTGATAATTTCTGCAATCTGGAAACAAGCCAAGTGTCCCTGGGCTGGTGAAGAGGTAAACACATGGAGGCCTCCATACAATGGAACGAAAAGGAACAGCCTCTTGATACTCCGACACAAGGATGCATCTCCAAGCCAGGCTGGAAAGGCTCCACGCTGCAGGATCCCATGTACATGCTGTTTGGAAAAGGCCAGGCCACAGGACGGGACACAGATGGGTAGTTGCCAGGGCTAGGGCTGGGGCTGGGGGGAGGGACTGACTGGGAAGGGCCACCAGGGAATTTTCTGGTTGCTGGGAATGTTCCATGTCTTGTTCAGAGCATTTACAGGGTATAAACGTGCAAAGTTTACCAGACTTCACATTTGAGATCTGAGGCCACTTCTCCTGATGTAAATTATAACTCAATGAATAAAAGTTTTTAAAAACAACCCAGTTCCATACTCGCCAGCCTGTGCCAGGTTCTTAGCCTGGGGACAGAGCTGGGGCGGGGCGGGTCCCTGCTTTCTGACCGGCAGGGGTGGGAGGGGCCCAGGCTGGGGTGCTGCGAAGGCAACCCAGGGAGGGCGCCCGAGCCCCGCCCAGGCCAGGCCCCAGGCTCTCCCGTGCTCCCGCCCCGCAGAGAGAGGCCGGAAGCGGCCCCGGAGGGCCCATTGTCCGCGCTTCCGTTCCGGCTCCGCCTCGTCCTCCCGCGGCCAGAGGTGCGACCTCTGAGCCCCTGGCCAGCTCCCAGCCGGCCTAGGGGGGCGGGGGCACGGGGCGGAGGTCCCGCAGCCCGTGCTCGTCCCGCCTCGCTTGGAGGGAGCAAGGGCTCCGAGCCCTGGGCCCAGGTCCTGTGCCTCCGCTTCCCCGGCTGCGGGTACACCCCCAGCTTCCCGAGCCCCCCGGGCCCTCGCTGCTCCACCCAGAAGTTGCGGTGACTGCGGCCCCAGCACCCCGTTCCCTGGCCGGGCATCACTTGCGCAGCATGCTGCCCCCAGAGGACAGGGCTACAGTTAGTCGCCCACACCTCATTCACCCCCTTGGGCCCTTGAGCGTCTTAGAAGCCGCAGATGCCAAGGAGGGGACGCTGCCTCGCGGATGGTCACTTGGGAGCAAAGCTGGGGACTAAAGGAACCAGGGACAGAGATTCCTGCTCTCGCCAAATTGGCCGCTCTGGGCCAGGCACTGAGGACACACCGCGAAGCCGGATAGCCAGGTCCTGTCCTCAGGGCCCTGTCCGGAAGAGGACTGGGCAGCCTCGAGTCCGCGGCAATGAATGAATGTTCAATTGCACAGATGGGGAGGCGAAGGAGGGAGGGAGGGAGGGAGGGCAGTCGCTTGGGCGGTCATTGGAGGCTCTGGGAGGCTATGCGCCGGCAAGAAGCAGCGGGGTGGAGGCAGCCCTGCGGGAGTCGGCGAGGGCCGCGTGGATGTGCTCGGTGGTTTTGAGGCCAGTGGCTGGAGGGGCGTGAGAGTGGGAGACCAGACTTGAGGGGAGTGGCTGGAGTTGAGACTCAAATCCAAGAAGGAAACGGTGGGGCTTGGACCACTTGCCTACTGAGAAAAATGGAAGTCGGGAAGGCTTTAGATCTAGTCGCGCTTGGTCACTTCCGTCTCCGGGCCTCAGCTTCCCAGGTTGTAGAAAGCATCAGGGTTGGAGGCTCTGAAATTCTGGCTCCTCTCAAGCCAAGATTAGTATGACTTCATTTTGGTTGTGCAAGAAATGGGCCTGCAGCGGTTCGCAGAGGCAGAGGGACCTAAGCTTGAAGGGCAATCAAACCGGCGTAGGCAGGAACGTCGGGAGCCCAGACCCCAGGCAGGGAGTTTAAGGTCTTGGACACAGAGGGTGCGCTCCTCGAAGCAGCCACAAAGCGGTGACAGAGACCAGGCTTACGTTTTGTTTTGAAATAATTTCAAAGTAACAGAAAAGCCGTGAGAATAGTTCCGAGAACTGCCTCCCTTATTAATGCAGATTCACCAAGCTTTAACATTCTGCTCCCCAGCCCTTGCATATTCAAGCCCCCATTGCAAGCATCGGAGAGTAAGTTGCAGGCGCGATGGCCCTTGAACCCTAAGTCCTCCAATGTGTATTGCCCAAGAACAAGGACATTCTATTGCACAACCCCAGTGGTTTTCAAGATCGAGTGATTTAACCATAATACAATAATTTAATCTGCACAACCTTACTCAAATATCACCAAATGTCGCAACGAGGTCTTTTATAGCACATCCCCTTCCCATCCCCATCCAGGAGCCACGCCAGGATCACATTTGTAAATTTAATTATTATTATTTAAGACGAGTCTCGCTCTGTCGCCCAGGCTGGAGTGCAGTGGCGCGATCTCGGCTCACTGCAAGCTCCGCCTCCCGGGTTCACGCCATTCTCCTGCCTCAGCCTCCCGAGTAGCTGGGACTACAGGCGCCTGCCACCGCGCCCGGCTAATTTTTTGTATTTTTAGTAGAGACAGGGTTTCACCGTGTTAGCCAGTCTGGTCTCGATCTCCTGACCTCGTGATCCGCCCGCCTCGGCCTCCCAAAGTGCTGGGATTACAGGCGTGAGCCACTGCGACCGGCCAGGATCACATTTAGTTGTTCACCTTTTTCATTTTGTTATTTTATTTCGTTTGTTTGTTTTGAGACAGGGGCTTGCTGTGTCATCCAGGCTGGAGTGCAGTGGCACCAGCATGGCTCACTGCAGCCTTGAATTTTTGGGCTCAAGGGATCCTCTCCCCTCAGTCTGCAGAGTAGCTGGGACTATGCATGCCAACACACCAGGCTTGTTCACCTTTATTTTAATTGCAACTTATTCACCAAGCTTACTTTGGCTGAAGTAATTTGAAAAAGATGGGTGCAAAGGGTTCTAGCCTCATCCTTCATAACTGCATGACCCCGGGCAGGGCCCGAGTCCTCTCCAGTGAGAAGTGCCAGGATCTGGGCAGGGCACATGGAGGAGCTGGAGCGGGCAGAGGATGCACTTGCATTCTGAGATGGAGCCATTCTTCCGTCCTCCCTGGCCTGGCCCATTTCCCCAGGCTCTTGGCGAAGGGGTACCTCCTGATTCACCCACCACAGTCTTCGAATGGGGCATCCAAGACTCCCCAAAAGGCACCAACTCCTTGAGAAGGCAGCTTTGGGGAACATACTCCCCATCCTGAGACAGACAAAAGGCCAGTTAGAAGAATTGCTTTAGGTCTGGAAAGGAAGAGGAGCTTGAAGGACTCCGGAGACTGGAGATAAACCCTTCTGAGAGTCAGGAGGTTTTCATTTTATATTTGCAATAAAATTGGGGGATAATCCAACCAACTTGTCAACTAATAGAGGTTAAAAATAATTTCTTTAACTTTTACTATGGAAAATGTAAACACAGGCAAAAGTAGAGAGACCTCTACAATGAACCTTTACTTACCCATTACCCAGTGGTAACAAAAATAATTCTTAATGATGGATTACTATGGATTTTGGGCAGAAAATTCAAAGGAATAATTGTGTTGCATTGCTCCAGTACTCCCTCCTTTCCCTTTGCTTATTTATGTGACAAGACTTCTCAGTGCTTACCTCTATAAAAATGAGAAATTGGAAGAGACGATGCCGACCATTGACTCATCACAGAAATAAAGAATGTTTATCCACTGGTGCACTAAATGAGGTTTGGGTAGTAGCGCAACAATCAATGTATAAGAAATACATTGCTAACAACATTTTACTTTGTTTAATAAGTATCTATCAACACTTGTAGGCCGGGTGCAGTGGCTCACCCCTGTAATCCCAGCACTTCAGAAGGCCAAGGCAGGAGGATCACTTGAGCTTAGGAGTAGAGACCAGCCTCAGCAACATGGTGAAACCCCATCTCTACAAAAAATTAGCCGGGCATAGTGGCGCGTGTCTGAAGTCCCAGCTACTGGAGAGGCTGAGGCAGGAGGATCACTTGAGACTGGGAGGTCAAGGATGCAGTGAGCTGTGATAGTGCCATTGCACTCCAGCTGGGGCAACAGAGCGAGACCTTGTCTCAAAAATAATTGTAATAAATTTATGTTTTGATGAATTGTATGCTAATGTTATTTGTAATAACTTACCAGAATTTTTTTTAAGAGATGGGGGTCTCACTGTCACCCAGGCTGGGGTGCAGTGGTGCAGTAATGGCCCACTGCAGCCTCAAACCCCTGGCCTCAAACTATCCTCCCATGTCACAGGGACTACAGGTGCAAGCTGCCATGCTTGGCAATTTCTTTGAAACGTTTAGTGATTGTAGTCACAGAAAATGTGTGTTTTTCCATTTTGGTTTACACGCATAGTTTCTACTATGGAGAAGTAGGATGGTGTGACCAATAAGATACTTTCAGGCATGAGAATACATCATTGTAGGCTCAAAGTTTGTGGGGGCAGTGGAATTGAATACGAGTTTCTAAGAGAAATAAACTGATGTAAAAACTTCATTTAAAAAAAGGCCAGGGCCGGGCTCTGTGGCTCACGCCTGTAATCCCAGCACTTCGGGAGGCCGAGGCGGGAGAATCACGAGGTCAGGAGATCGAGACCATCCTGGCTAACACGGTGAAACCCCGTCTCTACTAAAAATACAAAAAATTAGCCGGGCGTGGTAGCGGGCGCCTGTAGTCCCAGCTACTCGGGAGGCTGAGGCAGGAGAATGGCGTGAACCCGGGAGGCGGAGCTTGCAGTGAGCCGAGATCGCGCCACTGCACTCCAGCCTGGGCCACAGAGCGAGACTCCGTCTCAAAAAAAAAAAAAAAAAAAGGCCAGGCGCGGTGGCTCACGCCTGTAATCCCAGCACTTTGGGAGGCTGAGGAGGGTGGATCACCTGAGGTCAGGAGTTCGAGACCAGCCTGGCCAACATGGTGAAATGCCATCTCTACTAACAATACAAAAAATTAGCTGGGTGTGGTGGCACGCACCTGTAATCCCAGCTACTGGGAGGCTGAGGCAAGAGAATCACTTGAACCCAGGAGGTGGAGGTTGCAGTGAGCCGAGATTGCTTAATTGCACTGGGCAACAAGAGCGAAACTCCATCTCAAAAAAAAAAGAGCTTGTTCATGTACTTTTACATGGGTAGTGGTGGGCATCCAGCAACTATGGGCTTTTAGAAGCCGCTGGATGCATTATACAAGTGATGAAACAGCTCATTTAACGTCAGTGTTGGCCTAGCGCAGTGGCTCACGCCCGTAAGCACTTTGGGAGGAGTAAGCCAAGGCAGGAGGATCATTTGAGTTTAAGACCAGCCTGGGCAACATAGCAAAATCCCATCTCTACCAACAAAGAAGAAATTAGCTGGCCATGATGGAACACCCTGTTGTCCGAGCTTCTTGGATGGCTTGAGCCCAGTTCAAGGCTGGGCTGCAAGTTCAAGGCTGCAAGTGAGCTGTGATGGTGCCGTTGCACTCCAGCCTGGGAGATAGAGTGAGACCTTGTCTCTAAAATGAATAAATAAATAAGAAAAGTTAAAAAACATTTAAAATAAGTGAATAAAAACTCAATATTTACCATATCCAGGAAATCACATCCTTTGCTTCCAGTTTAATGTTGTAAATATGAATTTTTAAACGTGTGAGAGGGTATAAGGTGTTTCCATATTCTTTTGGGGGACCCACCGGTAACACAGTTTGCGGTTCCTGGCTGGGCAGTGCCTAGGAGCTGCCCCCTGAGGTGTGGGAGCCCGCCATAGGCTGCCCTCCAGCAGACTCCAGTTCCTCTAGGTACCTGTTCTATTTTTTTTTTCTTTGAGTTTTTTTAATAAAATAATCTCATGCATCAGGAGAGGACAGGGTCAGGGATTGGGGCCGCTGCCTCTATGGTCTGTGGCTGGGGAGGGTGGGCTCCGCTCAGGGCTGGAGGGCTCTGTGGGCTATGGGGGCAGAGGCTTGGTTCCAAGGCTGGATCCTAGCCTTGGGGATGGAGGTGCCTTGAACTTCGGCCTGCATTTGAAGACGGGGAAGCGCTGCAGTCGCAGGGGCTGTTCAGCAGGGGCCTGGAGCTGGTCCTCAAGCACAGACACCGCTCACGGCCCTGCCGAGAGAGGCTGCAGCCTCAGCTGGCCATCTTCATTCCTGGGGCTGAAACAAGGGTCCTCCAGGAGGCCCAGGCTGCCTGGGGAGGGGCCGGCTCTGCAGGGCCTTGGGCTTTGACCAGGGGAAGGAGGGCCTGGGCCATCCTGTTGGCCCCAACCATGGCTCCTGAGCTCTGCATTCAACTGCTGCCCCACTGTCTTCCAGGTTGCAGCCTCGGGCTTGCAACTGAGATTTCTGTCTCAGTCATTGGTTGCTTCACACTTGGTCTCTCCCTTTCTAAAGCTGGGGGCATCTTGAAGCGCCCTCAGGGGATTTATATCTCGGGGTCACAGTCACGCGCCCATCCATTGAGGGACTGGGAGGTCCCTGAGGAGGGAAGCCCAGCCCCTGAGCCTGCTTATCATCCAGCTGGGTGGACAGAAGTGTGGACACACAGCACAGCTCACCATGGAGCGGGTGCGAAGTGTAGCATAGCCGACACTGGCGTGGATATGCAGGGGAGAGCGAAGACGTCCTAGAGGGCCTGTGTGGGGGAGGGAGAAGCACTGGTCACAGGCTGTCCTAGAGACTTTGCGTGGATTAACTCATGAAATCCTCATAGTAACTTCATGGGACCAGTGCTGCATTATGTCAATTTTTTAGCTGCATTAAAGAGGCAGCCAGAAGTGAAGTGGATTGCCTGAGGTCACCAGGCTTGGGCAGAAGGCTCCAGAATACCTGCTCTGCCCACTTCGGGTATGCCTCACAGACATGTTGCCCCAGAGGCCCCAGGGGCACCTGACCACCAGGGCTCTGCAGAACAAGCCCGGCCCTGAGAGTGCTCTGCTGCTCTGGGACTGCGGTTCGGGCTTCCAGGGGTGGCAAAGATGCTGTGACCCACTTGTGGCGGGGCAGGGCTGGGCCCTGTGGGAAACAGTGGGTGGCCTGCCTCCTGGACACACTGTGGCCCCACATCAGGGCAGTGCTGAAGCGGCCTGGTGTGGCCGCTGCACTTCCGGATTCTCAGCCTCCTCTGCTGTCAGCCATCCACTGAGCAAAGGGCAGAGGGGCAGGGACGGGGCTCTGCTTCGAGACTTTCCTCTTTCATCCTCCCTTTGGTTGCCTACTCATGCCATCCAGAGATCAAGTCCTCACCTTTCCTATCAGCGCAAATCATTGTTTTCTAGCTGGTTTACCTTGGGCGAGACCCCATCTCTCTGGCTTCATCAGCAAAAAATTCATATTAGTTTGGGCCATATGAAGTTACTGCTTCTGTAGATCCAAAACCAGTTGGATTTTGGAAAAAACACATGGGTCAACCTAATAGTATCCAGTGGCGATACTGGGAGGCCTGAGCATGATGTTACACATAGTGACTTAGCACAGTCCCTGGCACAGGCATGCACTTCACAGAAAGGCAAGTGCTGGGTCCTAGCTGGCATTAAGTCAGGGACCATTAGGGCGCTCTGCAAGGGTGACAGATGCAGAAGTGAATAAGAAGAGGTTTGTGCCTTAAGGAGCTTGTGGGAGCCACATGGATATGCAGCTTACTGAAACACATCCCAAACTAGATTAGGCCAGAAAGGGGATCAGTGCAAAGTAGACTGGCATCTCTTACATGATCAAAAGACAGGCTGAGCAGCCAAGCCACGCGGAGGGTGAGTGTACTGTGGTCGCGGGAGGCTGGGCCCCGCCCTGGGGGCTGTGGTGGGTGCTGTCTCTCACCTCCCCTGCCTGCCTGCAGCCTTTCACAATGACCTGCCCCTAGGGCCCAAGAACCGGCACTGCCTCCCTCTGGTCCCAAGCTCCAAAGCCCCACACTGAGAATGTGGTGGCTCCCATGAAGACTGCATGGCTGGAGGGAGGTGTGGTCATGAGGGGAGGCGCTGGCAGGCAGTGCCTTACAGGTCCACCACCACGTGTCACTGGGCTGCAGGTGGCAAAACCCACTCAAACTAGCTTCAGCAATAAAGAGAACTTACTGGCTCATGACAAGGGAGGTTCAAGAGATGAAGGTGGCTTCAGGTGGGACTGCATCCAGGGGCTAGACTGGTTTTACCAGAAACTCAACTCTGGCCTCTGTGTCTGGGCTTTGCCTGCCTCCCTTGTGACTTCATGCTCAGGTCTATCCAGACTGTGCTCTGGCAGCCCTGGCTACACAGGGTCCTTGTAGGCGGTGAGTTTAGGGAGTAGAGCTCCTCTCTGAATGTAGCCATCAGGAGTCCCAGGATCGACTCCAGTTGGCCTGACTTAGATCACGTGTCCATCCCTTGAGCCAGAGGTCAGGTGGGAATTAGTTTCATGTGAACTACGGGGAGTGTGAACAAAAGTTCTCTGAAAAGGGATTTGGAGAAAAGAAACTTTATTATTATTTTCTTGAGACAGGCCCTTGCTCTATTGCCCAGGCTGGGGTGCAGTGGCACGATCATGCCTCACTGAAGCCTCAACTTCCTGGACTCAAGTGATCCTCCCACCTCAGCCACTTGAGGAGCTGGGAGTATAGGTGCACACCACCATGGCTGGCTAATTTTTCTTTCTTTTTTTCTTTTCTTTTCTTTTCTTTTTTTTTTTTTTTTTGAGATGGAGTCTCACTCTGTCATCCAGGCTGGAGTGCAGTGGCATGATCTCAGCTCACTGCAACTTCCGGCTCCCAGGTTCAAGCAATTCTCCTGCCTCAGCCTCCTGAGTAGCTGGGATTACAGGCATGCGCCACCACACCCAGCTAAATTTTTGTATTTTTGGTAGAGACGGAGTTTCACCATGTTGGCCAGGCTGGTCTTGAACTCCTGACCTCAAGTGATCCACCCTCCTCGGCCTCCCAAAGTGCTGGGATTACAGGCGTGAGCCACCGTGCCCAGCCAATGCCTGGCTAATTTTTAAATTTTTATAGAGACTATGTTGCCCAGGCTGGTCTCGAACTCCTGAGCTCAAGCGATTCTCCAGCTTTGGCCTCCCACAGTGCTAGGATTACAGGTGTGAGTCACCATGCCTGGCCAGGAAATAGACTTCATTCCAGTGAACAGTTTGCAAACCAGGGAGATGCAGCCTTTGGTATAAAATGAAGGTGCATTCCAGAGAACAAAGGGAGGGTTCAGGTTTTATAGGGAAAGTCCCTGCCCAGGTTCCCAATCAGGTCTATTTATGCAAATGAAGGATTCAAATTTGCTTAGTTTTAATTAGTCAACACAGCTGAGCCCTGATTGGTTGATACAGCTGAGCTGAGATTGGTTGACATAACTGAGCTGTGAGTGGCTGGTGCAAGTGAGCTCTGAACACCCCAAAATTGAAGAGAGAGGTGTGGATTTTCAGGGAACTCAGTATGTGTGTGACCTCTAGTCAGCAAATGGCCCCTTGGCTCTGTTTTAAATTTAGGCCCAGTTAGCCACTAAGGATCCGTCCTGAAGGATTAGCTCTTTCAGGTTCACATTTGTTCACAAGAATGAGGATGGGTGAGAAAGTTTACCAGAAGAAGGATTCAGTACAGTAAAACCTCAAATTAACCAATAGTACCAATTCAGCAATTCAGGCCTTGATCTTTGGATCGTGTGTGTGGACGACAGAAGGGAGATGGAAGAGGAAAGTCTTGAAGAAGAGCCCCAGTTCCTGCCTGTCTGCCCTTTGCTCAGTGGATGGCTGATAGCAGAGGAGGCTGATAATCCAGAAGTGCAGCGGCTACACCTATGGATAGGTGCTACTACAGAGAGTGTGACAGAGGTGGAGAGCTCAACTGCATGTATGTGAGGACATCAGAACAGGCTTCACAAAGGAGAGGCTCCCTAAGTCCTCAAAAAGTTACATCTAGAATCACGACATGACCCAGCAATGCCACTCCTAGGTATATATCCAAAGGAATTGAAAACAGGGACTCAAACAAGTGCATGTACACCCAAGTGCACAGCAGCACTATTCACAATAGCCAACAGATGAAAACAGGTGTCCATCAACTAATGATAAACAAAGTGTGGTCTATCCATACAGTGAAATATCATTCAGCCATAAAAAGGAATGAAGTCTTGACATACTCTACAACATGGGTGAACCTTGAAACTGTGCTAAGTGAAAGAAGCCAGGCACAAACGATCACATACTGTATGATTCCACTTGTGTGAAACATCCAGAATAGGTCAATCCACGTGGACAGAAAGCATACTGGTGGCTACCCGGGGTGAGTAGAAGGGGAGAATGGGGAGCAACTACTTAATGGGTATGGGATTTCCTTTTGGGGTGATGAAAATGTTTTCAAATTAGATAGAGGTAATGGTTGCACAATATTGTGAATACACTAAATGCCATGCAGTTTTTCACTTTAAAATGGTTAATTTGAGTTTCACCTAACAAAACAAAACAATAACACGTCACCCCTCCCCCCCAAAAAAAGACAAATGATGTATCTTATGTGGTATTTGCTTCAAAATGATTCAGATTGAAGTGACGTGGGAAGTGGAGGGCAGGTATAGATGAAGCAGGGTTCACCAGAAGTTAGTAACTGTTGGCTGGGCATGGTGGCCCATGGCTGTAATCCCAGCACTTTGGGAGGCTAAGGCAGTTGGACCACCTGAGGTCAGGAGTTTGAGACCAGCCTGGCCAACATGGTGAAACCCCATCTCTACCAAAAAATACAAAAATTAGCTGGGTGTGGTGGCATGTGCCTGTAGTCCCAGCTACTTGGGAGGCTGAGGTGGGAGAATCCCTTGAACCTGGGAGATGGAGGTTGCAGTGAACCAAGATCGTGCCATTGCACTCCCGCCTGGGTGACAGAGCGAGACTCTATCTCACAAAAAAAGAAGTTGGTAATTGTTGATTGTAGTTCATTATATTCTTCTCTTTTTGTAGATTTTTGGGAAATTTCATTGTAAAAAGTTAAATAAAAGAATAAGTAAGAGTCATATCCCAAAAACTGTTGCCAAGACCAATGGCAAAGAGCCTTTTTCTTATATTTTCTTCTAGAAGCCAGTTTTATTTGCCAAGTTAATTTTTGCCAAGTTAATAATGTTTTTATTATTATGGCTTTGTAGTATAGTTTGAAATCAGGACATATGATGCTTCCAGCTTTGTTCTTCTTTCTCAAGATTGCTTCGGCTATTTGGGTGCTATGTTAGCCCATTCTTGCATTGTTGTAAAGACATAACTGAGGCTGGGTAATTTATAATGAAAAGAAGTTTAATTTTGGCTCACTGTTCTGCAGGTTGTACACGAAGCATAGTGCCAGCATTGGCTTCTGGTGAGGGTCCCAGGACACTCACAATCATGGTGGAAGGTGAAGGGGGAGCCAGGGCATCACATGGCAGAGAGGCAGCAGCAAGAGAGAGAGAGGCATCTCCCCCTGGTTCCACACTCTTTTAAACAACCAAATCTCACATCCAAATCTCACATGAACTGAGCAAAAACTCACTCATTACCAAGGGGATGGCGCTAAGCCATTCATAAGGGATCTACCCCCATGATCCAATCACTTCCCACCAGGTTCCACCTTCAACATTGGAGATTACATTTCAACATGAGATTTGGAGGGGACAAACACTCAAACCATATCATTCCATCCCTGGCCCCCTGAATCTCATGTCCTTCTCATATTGCAAAATACAATTATCCACTCTGCAGTGGCTCACACCTGTACTCCCAGCACTTTGGGAGGCTGAGGTGGGATGATCACTTCAGCCCCAGGAATTGGAAACCAGCCTGGCCTGGGCAGCATGGCGAAACCCTGTCTCTAAAAACATTTTTAAAATTAGCCAGGTGTGGTGGTGTGCACCTGTAATCCTAGCTACTCTGGAAGCTCAGGTGGGAGGATCACTTGAGCCTGGAAGGCTGAGGCTGTTGCGAGCCTCACAGTACACCAGCCTGTGCGACAGAGCAAGACCCTGTCTTTAAAAAAACATATATATTATGCATATACATATATATATATACACACACACAATTTTTATTTGTCAATCATAACTCAATGAAGCTAGAGGAATAAAGAAGAATAAATAGGAGTTTGCCAGGTAGACAAATGGTGTGGGAGGGTGCTCATTACAAGAAGAGGGAGTGGAGTGTGCAAACGTGCAGAGGAGTGAAGCAGCACGAGGCACAATGTGGGCAGAGATGGGATGCCTGCATGAGGTTGTAGGCCGACTAGCAGAGCTAGAAATACTAAAAGATCATCTAGCTCAAACCCTCACCATACATGGAAATGGAGGTTCAGAGAAGTTAGGGGACCTTGTCCAAGGTTACACAACTAGTGGGAAGCTGAGCTGGAATCAGAGCCCAGGCCAGAGTAACTTTTACTAGGCTATGCTGCATTGGTTCACTCCCTCCTTCTCGCCTTCCCTCCTGCCCTTCCTCCCTTCCTTCCGTCTTTTTTTTTTCAAATAAAATCTGGTTTTAAGCAGAAATAGTCTCAAAACTGCCAGATAAGCAGTCACAAAATCCAAGCACGTATCTTATTTGTGGGGCTTGTTCAGAATCCATTTAATCTGACTTTGGACAAAGTTCTGACAAGTTGGGTTATATGGATTCCCAGCTCACAGTAAGTGAAAGGCAGTTGTTGGGGGGAAATGAAGGGCTTTCAGGGCAGGCACACTGGCAATAATGAAATGTGATAGTCACAGCTTGGGCTGGGAGGAAATAGGAAAGCTAATGAAAAGAGATATTAGAATAAAAATACTTAGTCATAAAGGACATGCAAATCAAAACCACAGTGAGGTACCACTTTACACCCATTAGGATGGCTGGAATAAAAAAGTCAGGACCGGGCATGGTGGCTCATGCCTGTAATCCCAGCACTTTGGGAGGCGGAGATGGGTGGACCACTTGAGGTCAGGAGTTCGAGATCAGCCTGACCAACATGGTGAAACCCCTCCTCTACTAAAAACATGAAAATTAGCCAGGCATGGTGGTGCATGCCTGTAATCCCAGTTACTTGGGAGGCTAAGGCAGGAGAATTGCTTAGAACCCGGAAGGCAGAGGTTGCAGTGAGCCTGAGCCACTGCACTCCAGCCTGGGCGACCAAGTAAGACTCCGTCTCAAAAAAAAAAAAAAAAAAAAAAAAAAAGGCCGGGCATAGTGGTTCACTCTTGTAATCCCAGCACTTGGGGAGGCTGAGGTGGGCAGATCGTGAGGTCAGGAGATCGAGATCATCCTGGCTCACATGGTGAAACCCCATCTCTACTAAAAATATGAAAACAAAATTAGCCGGGCATGGCAGGCGCCTGTAGTCCCAGCTACTCGGGAGGCTGAGGCGGGAGAATGGCATGAACCTGGGAGGCGGAGCTTGCAGTGACCCAAGATCGTGCCACTGCACTTCAGCCTGGGCGACAGAGCGAGACTCCATCTCAAAAAAAAAAAAAAAAAAAAAAAGTCAGGTAACAAGTGCTGGTGAGGATATGAAGAAACTGGAACCCTCATATACTGCTGGTGGGAATGTACAATAGTGCAGCCACTTTGGAAACAGTCTGGTAGTTTCTCAACAGGTTAAACACAGAGTTCCCATATGACCCAGAAATTCCACTCCTGAGGCGGGTGGATCACTTGAGGCCAGGAGTTAGAGACCAGCCTGGCCAACATGGTGAAACCCCCCTCTCTACTAAAATGCAAAAATATAATACAAAAAATTAGCCAGGCGTGGTGGGATGCCCCTGTAATCCCAGCTACTCGGGAGGTTGAGGCAGGAGAATCGCTTGAACCTGGGAGGCAGAGGTTGCAGTGAGCCAAGATTGCACCACTGCACTCCAGCCTGGGTGACAGAGCAAGACTCTATCTCAAAAAAAAAAAAAAAAAAAAGATGAAAACTGTGTGGCCTGATGTTTGAAATTCTTAAATTTTGTGTTTGAAAAATCAACTATTGGCTGGGCACGGTGGCTCAAGCCTGTAATCCCAGCACTTTGGGAGGCTGAGGCAGGTGGATCATGAGGTCAGGAGATCAAGACCATCCTGGCTAACATGGTGAAACCCTGTCTCTACTAAAAATACAAAAAATTAGCCGGGTGTGGTGGCAGGCACCTGTAGTCCCAGCTACTTGGGAGGCTGAGGCAGGAGAATCGCTTGAACCCAGGAGTCCGAGGTTGCAGTGAGCCGAGATTGCGCCACTGCACTCCAGCCTGGGCGACGGAGTGAGACGCCTTCTCAAAAAAAAAAAAAAAAAGAAAAAAAAAGAAAGCAAAATCAACTGTTAAAACAATTCTTATGTTTTGCTTGTAAAGGACATGATGAGAAAGTTTTTTTGTTTTTTTTTTTTTTTTGAGATGGAGTCTCGCTCTGTCCCCCACGCTGGAGTGCAGTGGCGTGATCTCGGCTCACTGCAACCTCCGCCTCCCGGGTTCAAGCGGTTCTTCTGCCTCAGCCTCCCGAGTAGCTGGGACTACAGGCGCCCGCCACCATGCCTGGCTAATTTTTTGTATTTTTAGTAGAGACGGGGTTTCACCATGTTAGCCAGGATGGTCTCGATATCCTGACCTCGTGATCCGCCCGTCTCAGCCTCCCAAAGTGCTGGGATTACAGGCGTGAGCCACCGCGCCCGGCCGAGAAAGTTTTAAGCTGCTTGCAGTTACTTCTCTCAGATGTCCCATGGTATGTATGAGCCTTTAATCACTACAGTAAATGCAAAACTAAGTGGGATAGAACCGATACTATATTTTTCTTTTGAACACTGGTTTTTGAAATACCAGAGACATCTTGATGTGCTCTATAAGAATTCTGACCAGTTGGCTGGGCGCAGTGGCTCATGCCTGTAATCCCAGCACTTTGGGAGGCTGAGGCGGGCGGATCACCTGAGGTCAGGAGTTCGAGTCCAGCCTGGCCAACATGGTGAAACTCCTTCTCTACTAAAAATACAAAAATTAGTCGGGTGTGGTGGTGGGTGCCTGTAATTCCAGCTACTCAGGAGGCTGAGGCAGGAGAATTGCTTGAACGCAGGAGGAGGAGGTTTCAGTGAGCCGAGATTGCACCATTGCACTCTAGCCTGGGCGTCAGAGACTCTGTCTCAAAAACAAAACCAAACCAAACAAAACAAAAAGAATTCTGACCAGTTGAGCAATGTAGGGGTGGGTTGCCCCTCCACACCTGTGGGTGTTTCTCGTAAGGTGGATGTGTCAGGGTCACAAGACAATTGTGGGGAGAGGGTCAGCAGACAAACACGTGAACAAAGGTCTTTGCATCATAGACAAGGTAAAGGATTAAGTGCTGTGCTTTTAGATATGCATACACATAAACATCTCAATGCTTTACAAAGCAGTATTGCTGCCCGCATGTCCCACCTCCAGCCCTAAGGCGGTTTTTCCCTATCTCAGTAGATGGAACATACAATCGGGTTTTATACCGAGACATTCCATTGCCCAGGGACGGGCAGGAGACAGATGCCTTCCTCTTGTCTCAACTGCAAGAGGCATGCCTTCCTCTTATACTAATCCTCTTCAGCACAGACCCTTTACGGGTGTCGGGCTGGGGGACGGTCAGGTCTTTCCCTTCCCACGAGGCCATATTTCAGACTATCACATGGGGAGAAACCTTGGACAATACCTGGCTTTCCTAGGCAGAGGTCCCTGCGACCTTCCGCAGCTTTTGTGTCCCTGGGTACTTGAGATTAGGGAGTGGTGATGACTCTTAAGGAGCGTGCTGCCTTCAAGCATCTGTTTAACAAAGCACATCTTGCACCGCCCTTAATCCATTTAACTCTGAGTTGACACAGCACATGTTTCAGAGAGCACGGGGTTGGGGGTAAGGTTATAGATTAACAGAATCTCAAGGCAGAAGAATTTTTCTTAGTACAGAACAAAATGGAGTCTCCCATGTCTACTTCTTTCTACACAGACACAGTAACAATCTGATCTCTCTTGCTTTTCCCCACAGAGCAAAACTCACAGATTTCATGAAGAATGTGAATATGCCCAATTACCATCATTTGCTCCCATTAATGTGCTATATGTCAATACCATGACTCCTTATTTTTATTTTTTACTTTTAGGTTCAGGGGTACATGTGCAGGATGTGCAGGTTTGTTACATAGGTAAACGTGTGTCATGGGGATTGGTTGTACAGATTATTTCATCACCCAGATTATTTCATCCATTAGTTATTATTTTCCTGCTTCTCTCCCTCCTTCCGCCCTCCAGATTCCTTATATTTTATTTTCTCTTTTAGATTCTGAAATACTTCATACAGTAAGAATACTGGTACCCACCACCATGCAGACATTTTGTACATTTGCCTCAAATCCATCCCCTGCTCCCCCTCCCCTCTGCCACACACACAATCCTGTTATGGTCATGCCTAGATTTCAGCTATAAATTCCCACCTTGTCCTGTCCTGATGTTTAACCCTTTCGGTGGCCATGGCCAATGCTCATAGGGAGATCGTGAGCTCGGCACCAAATAATTGTTTTATTATTTGATTGCTGGAGGAGAACTAAGGTGACTTTACAGCAGGGACACAGAGATCCAGAAGAAGTCAGATCCTTGCCTTCTCAAGATTACACAAAGTCTGAAATCCACAATTCTTGATTCCTTGCCCAACAAAATGGAATAGCAGAAATTGCATGGGCTTTAGAATCAAACTCAACCAAGTTCAAATCCTGACTTTGCCATTTACTAGTGAAACAGCTTGTCCACAAGATAAAATGCAAACAACCTTCCCAAGCTTTTGGTTTCATCTGAAAAATGGAAGTTATACCACCTCCTCTTTAGAACGGTTGAAACAATCAGAAGCATAACAAGTGGCACTGTGCCTGGCACAGAATAGGGACTCAATTAATAGCAATTTTTTAAGTTCCACTTTTTAATGAGCACCAATTCTGGGCCAGGCATTGTTTCAGGCACTTAGGACATAGCCACAAACTGACAACGTCCCTGTCACTGTGCTGGTTAAGAAATTATAAGTAAAATAGATTATCAGCCAATTATATGTGTATTCACTCGCAAAGGCTTTTTTGTTTCGTTTTGTTTTGTTTTTGAGATAGAGTCTATGTTGCCCAGGCTAGTCTTGAACTCTGGGCCTCAACCAATCCACCTGCCTTGGCCTCCCAAAGTGTTGAGATTACAGGCGTGAGCCACTGTGCCTGGCCCCATTTGCGAGTTTTTGTTCTTATGGACACGATATTCTTTTCTTGTCCCCATGGCCAGCCCATTCTCTGACACATACTGATTTTTTGGTTCCCCAAACCAACTTAAGAGCCAGGGCTGGCTGAGGATAGCCCAAATTCTGGCTACTGGGCTCTTCGTTGGTAAGAATGGGAGATGTGCTATATTCTGAAGAGAGTTAGATGAGTGACACAGGTGCCTGTCCTCTAGGAATTCTCAGTCTACTAATAATCAAGATCATGGTATAGCACTTTCTCTTGCCAGATGCTGGGCTAGGCTCTGTACAATTTTCATTTAATCCTCATAACCTTCACAACCTTCTGTTAAGGTAAAGTGGTTATTAAAATTCTTAAAAGAGGCCAGGCGCGGTGGTTCATGCCTATAATCCCAGCACTTTGGGAGGCTGAGGTGGGTGGATCACCTGAGGTCAGGAGTTCGAGACCAGCGACCAGCCTGGCCAACATGGTGAAACCCCGTCTCTACTAAAAAATACAAAAAATTAGCTCGGTGTGGTGGCACAGGCCTATAATCCCAGCTACTTGGGAGGCTGAGGCAGGAGAATCACTTGAACCTGGGAGATGGAGGTTGCAGTGAGCCAAGATCGTGCCACTGCACTCCAGCCTGGGCGACAGAGCAAGACTCTGTCAAAATAAAATGAGATGAAATAAAATAAAATAAAATACTTAAAATAAAAACTTTAGACAAGTTAAATTTAACAAAGAATGATTCATGAATTGGGCAGCCCCTAAGACCAGGACAGGTCAGTGAGAGTCTGGGGCTGCCATATGGCTAAGTAACATTTATGGACAGAAAAAGGCAAGTGGTGTATAAAAAATTGAAGTGAGGTATGCAGACCTCACTTATTCTTGTTAAACTTATTCTGGGCTTGTACCTTATTTCAACAGTTGGCTGCCTGTGGTTGACTGAAGTTCGGCTGCTGTGATTGGCGGAGACTTGGCTACTCGTTACAAGAGTAGGTTCCAATCTGCTTATGCCTGGCTAGGTTACAGTTCCCTATGTATGGAGAAACCTTTAGGCCAAACTTAAGATATGTACAGAAGCAGCTTTAGGCAAAATTTAACATAATT
Organism: Homo sapiens; assembly: GCF_000001405.40. Taxonomy (NCBI): domain Eukaryota; kingdom Metazoa; phylum Chordata; class Mammalia; order Primates; family Hominidae; genus Homo; species Homo sapiens. Next base: position 129,644,378 of record NC_000003.12, read on the forward strand.
CATTTTCATCATGATTTGTTGCACCTTTTAATACAGTCTCGAAAACTATTGAACTGAATTCTTTCAACAGATAAAGAATATTCTCTTGAACAGCTTAAACATTCAGTAAGACAGAAGCATGAATAAATTTTGTCAAGTACTCTTGCTCTGGGATTTAAGGATTGTAATACCAAAGGTGACAGGGATTTTTTTTTTTTTTTTGAGATGGAGTCTTGCTCTGTCGCTAGGCTGGAGTGCAGTGGCGTGATCTCGGCTCACTGCAACCTCCGCCTCCCAGGTTCAAGCAATTCTCCTGCCTCAGCCTCCCAAGTAGCTGGGACTACAGGTGAGTGCCACCACGCCCAGCTAATTTTTGTACTTTTAGTAGTGACGGGGTTTCACCATGTTGGCCAGAATGGTCTCCATCTCTTGACCTCGTGATCCGCCTGCCTCGGCCTCCCAAAGTGCTGGGATTACAGGCGTGAGCCACAGCGCCTGGCCCAGGGATTTTTTTTTTTTAAAAGAACTGAACTCTGAGTTGCCTACACCCTTTTTCCACTTATCAAAAAACTGTGAAGAGCCTCTACTTACAGGATCAATAGGCAAAAGACCAAATACCTTGGACACCATTCCTCAAACACCCAACTGATTGGGATGACCTGAAAAACAGGTTTCTGGTTTCTTCTCAAAGGGCTGTAATTAAACAGAAGGCTGGGTCACCTTTCAACACCTGTAATGGCTTCTCTTGTAGTCACAAGGTAAACCTTTAGCGTGGTATTCAAGATTTCTTGCAACTTGGCCCCCACATATGATTCTCACACATTCTTTCAGGCACCCTACCAGTCACTTAAGGCTCCTTATCCATTGCTTGAACTGCTCACCTAGGCCGTTTTCACCTCTGTGGTTTTGCTAATACCTCCAATAGAAATGCCCCCTCACCTATTTCTGCTCATCATAAAGCCACCATCTTTCAGTCCAGATACCATGGCCTCCTCCGTTGAGCCTTTCCCTATTGCTCTGTTAGAATTGCTTCCTCCTCTTTGCTCCCACACGTCTTCTGCCTCTTTACCACATGTATTTCATTCTACTAAGTTCCTTTTTCCACAGCCCAGTCTTGTATAGAGTGGCTCTTAAGTGCTGCTGGCTAAATAGGAGGTACCAGCTGCTGCTGTCACCTCTGCACGTGCTCCTCCTTCTCAGCCCGCAGGGCTTCTGGCAGCGGGACATCTATGTGACCCCCAAGCCTAGAAATCCAGGGCTGGAAGAAAGCTCAAGGGGTGGCCCAAACTTGGTCTAGAGCCCCCTCTAAGGCAATCTGGAGGCAAAAGATGGTCTAGTATGATCTGTCATTAGGAACACTATCAATTCTTTTTTCACTTCTCACTGGACCTATTTTTAAGTTTTTGATATATTTAATTTAAAAAATACACAAATACATTTTCTTCAAAGAGATTCATACTTTATAGAAGCCAAGCATGAAAGTGCTGCTTAACCACTGTTCCTCCCTCTCCCTTCCCAAAATAACGGGAAAGTTTAATGCAAAGTTTTTACACATCCACATGCATATATTTACACAAATATACATATTCTCAACATAAATGGGAGACAATATATTGTTCCACAGTTGGCTTTTTAAATCTTAATGCACTGATTATACAGGAGGCTGAACAATTTTCTGGTATGCTTATTGGTCATTTTTCTTTTCTTTTTTTTTTTTTGAGACAGAGTCTCGCTCTGTCGCCCTGGCTGCTGGAGTGCAGCGACACCATCTCGGCTCACTGCAAGCTCCGCTTCCTGGGTTCACGCCATTCTCCTGCCTCAGCCTCCCGAGTAGCTGGGACTACAGGCGCCTACCACCATGCCCGGCTAATTTTTTTGTCTTTTTAGTAGAGACGGGGTTTCACCATGTTAGCCAGGATGGTCTCGATCTCCTGACCTCGTGATCCACCCGCCTCAGCCTCCCAAAGTGCTGGGATTACAGGCGTGAGCCACCGCGCCCAGCCGCTTATTGGTCATTTTTCTATAAGCTCTCTGTTTATAACTATTGCCTGTCTTTTCTATTGAGCTGTTACCAATAGGAAAGATGATTATTGATTTGTAGTCTTAAATATTGTGGACGCTCATTTTTTGTTATATATGTCGCATAGACCTATTTTCCATTGCATTAATTTACCATTTCCTAACATTAATTTTGGGCAAGCCATTTAACCCAAGCTTCAGAGTTCTTACCTAAACAATGAGGATATCTCCTGCATAAGACTGTGGGGGAGAATTGACTGATAAAACTGAATGATGTCTGGCACTCAGTAAATACTCAATAAACGTTAGCTATTCTTCACTATAGACTTGGGGCTACAAGTCAGCTAAATGTTTAGTTTGGACCATAGGATTTAAGTATATTTGAACCCTTCAGGTGAAGCATGCATTTCTAGTTGACCATACCTTCCTCTGCCTCCCCAATCTGTTTTCTACACCACAGCTTCTCAAATTTATGTCATCTGCCTTCCACTCTCTGAAGTTTTCTTTTTTTGAGACAGGGTCTCGCTCTGCCACCTAGCCTAGAGTGCAGTGGTGTAATCATAGCTCACTGTAATCTCAAACTCCTGGGCTCGAGTGATGCTATCACCTCAGCCTCCTGAGTAGCTGGGACTACAGGTGCCTGCCACCACACCTAGCTAAATTTATTTTTTGTAGAGATAGGGGTCTCACTATGTTGCCCAGGTTGGTATCAAACTCCTGGCCTCAAGTAATCCTCCAACCTTGTCCTCCCAAAGTTTTGGGATTACAGGTGTGAGAGCCACCACACCCAGTTTTTACTGGCATTCAGTAAGTCTCCAAGGTTTTTAAAGGATAAAAATAAAGCAGGTTTTGAAATTATGTATCGCCCATTATCATGGCAGCTCTATGTGTCCCGTATGCACTACACAACTCCTGGATGTTGTTCACAGTTTATCAGACTTATGAAGCCCCCGCAGGGTTGGGCAATATACAACCTGCATATCTGTACATGGCAGCCTGGCCCATATTTTAAGGGGAATTTTCAAAGATTTCACAAGATGTATCCCTTGCTCTCACAACATCCACCTGTAGGATCAAGTTGGGTGGTGTGGTATCACTAGTTTATACATGGGGTAAGAGGCACACAGCTAGCAAGCCAGAAGTGGGACTAAAGCTCTCGACATTCAGACTGGAGCTGTGAAGGACCGAATCATCATGTCTCTGCTTGGTACCAGGTCAAAGGCAAGTTTAGGACTTCAGGATTTCCAGAGGCCTCCCAGAGATCATCAGGAAAAAGTCCTAATAGAAATTACTACTTTTATAACAAAACTACAGGTGGCACTAGGCTGGATAATAATGCATTACATGCATGTAGAACTACATATGTTAAATGTTTCAAAAATAAAAAGCAAAACAAACATGAGTCTGACCACCAGGTTAATAGCTGAGGTCTTTATTTCAATTTCTATATACAGTAAAAGTGCTGCTGAGAATCTGCAGCGACCAGACAGAACATAAATTTAAATCTCTCTCAACAATTAGCAGCTTAAGATCTATCAACTACAGTGTTAACGTTCACACGTTCACAAGTGTCATTTCTTTACGTTTCAATTCGTGCAAGTGAGTTTTTATTCTTACACACTTTGATAAAACACACAGTCTAGTAGTCAATCCCTACTGAGGATATCACCTAGCATACACGACATACAGACAGCAATGTTAACTCTTAGAGCCACATTCAAAATCCCAGGTTTCATTTGGGGTTGGGGTGTGGGAACCATAATTTTGCCTGTGTCAGATTACAATAATGTTTGGTTTTGTTTTAGTTGCATATTTTCCAAAGCTGAAAGGCAGCTCCTCATTGGAACTCTCTCAGAACTCAGCATTTTCATCTGACTGTACCTCAAAGGAACATGAAATCAGAAACAAAACCAAATGCAGTGAAGACCACATGAAAATACGCTCATTATTTGGACATGGCTAGTGAGGAAGGCTCGCTCCCAATATTTGTCTTGGCATCAGACTTTTACTCCATTCAGAACAGGGGAGAGAGAAGACCCTAGTCAGTGAAGTATAAAATTTAACCTACTTTTGCTTCTTAAGGAGCCAGTAGAGTGGAAAGCCTTCCTTACTAGGACATACTGAGTATACCAAGGAATGGAAATTGGAGCAGACAGAAGTACCCTTCAATTATCATAAACAATGTAAAATGCGCATTCTACAACCTGAACAATCACCCAGGCCAACACAGCCAGCTTCACTCACCCAGGCTAGAGGCATGGACAAATAAACCAGGAATGTTTCATTTTAAAGGGAATGAATACAGTTTTCTTTTCTTTTTTTTTTAGAGGAGCATTCAAATGAGGGGACGTTTCCACCCAGAACAACTGTTAAGCCATTAGAGCGAGGTTATAGAAGAGCTCTGACAAGACAAAAGAACCCAAGAACAACCACAATGAAAGAAACTCAAAAGTAACAGGATGGGCAGCAAAAGGTACAGCAAAGAATGAAAACAGATGCATGGTTACAAACAGCATTAAATGCGTACAACTTCTGGGTCTGGTGAATAATTAAGGGACAAGAAAGCCATTACTGCACCTGATCTGCACTGAAGGTCCTTCCTAAGACAGTTTGAGAAAGGAAGATAGAAAGTCAGCATGGGACTATTTGGCTGGAGGCAGGGGGCTTTCTACAGGTGAAAACCTTCCTTTGATAGATAGAAACCGTCCCAGGGCAAATAGGAACAGTTTCAATCCATCTATCAAAGTGACTTCCAGTGCCCACAAAACTTAAGTCTTCAGGCAGTTTGGGGGACTCAAAGGTTCTAGCTTAGAAAAACTGGTGGATTGCTGCTAGGGCATCTTTTAAATAACTTTGTGGGGGCTCTCTACTCTGAGCAATTACGCTAAAGCAGAAAGTTAGGAGAAACTGTCAGTTCAAAAAGTTCATAGTGTCCTTTGGCACTCCTGCCTAAAAAGTCACTGCAATATTTTTAGGCAAAGTTAACATTTTAATACATATAGGCTTGGGGACAATTTGTTTTTGGCATGAACATGAATTGGTTCTAATTTTTTTTTTTTTAAAGAAAAAAAGCACCCTTGTGGCCCTGCTCTGGGTGCAGTTTTGAGGGGGCAACAGAGCTAGCAGGTGTACTACAATCAGCTGAGGTTGGGGTGAAGACTGGAGTACCTGAGTTAAAATATCAAAGTAGTTATGGAAACAACATGCTGGCTCTGAGAAATCCAGCTTGCCAAAGCAAAAGGAGGCTGGCACCATTAGGTAAACTGTCCTTTCAGACAGGCAGGGCAATGCTAATCTAGTTCTGAAGGAATTTCCTGGTAAGTGGAAACAGGCAAAGCATACTTTGTTACTCTTTTCAGGGCATCTTATATGCACTTGGTTGCACAGAATGAGGCTAAGAGGGAACAGCATTTGTGACCAATACTACAAATAATATGGAAAGATTAACCAAGCTCTCTAGATAAACTCTAAATGTTCAAGTTCCACCAGGATGATGGAACTGGTTATGCGACGGGGGAAGGCAGCTCAGTTCATTTTTCAAAACCATCTATAGAAGTCCACTGAGCATAATTAGGTTAGGTTAACAAGTCCGTTTACATTATAGGAAGCTGGCAACATTTCACACCCAAAACTTGGGTCCTGCTAACCTGACATTTCCTTCACTGCTCTTTAGGAGAATCACCTTTGGTTGATTCTCTTAGGCAGACAGAATAAAGCTTTGAAATTAAGAATGCTGGGGCCAAAATGAAGACAGAAGACTCCACATCATCACTTTGGTTGTAATTAGGGGTGTTAACAAAATAAATTAAGGAAACACAAGGACTTATTTATGACTCTTATAGTCTCAACTTTTCCTAAAGACAACCCCAGCCCAAGATCACTGGGTGAACGTTTTCTTGGGGCAAAAAAAAAAAAAAAAAATCCCTATCCTACTACACTGGTTTTTGGAAACAGCCTCCTGCTCTCCTTGCACAACCCTTTCCTCTTCAACTAAGCCAAACCCATAAAACGGGGGCGTAGGTATGTCGGGACACCAAAAAGCAGCAGCAGCAGCCAGAGGGAGTTTAAACTGCATCTCAAAACAAAGGCGGCAGAGGGCAGCATTTACAGCAAGACTTTCTTACTCAAACTGTTTCAAGACAAGAGGGAGCAGCACACTTAAATATCCACACATTTCTTCATTTAAAAACATCACTTCTTTATTTCAAAGGAAAAATAAAAGACCCTCCCAACCCTGTCCAAAAAAACCCAATAATAATAATAACAATAATAAAAAATCCTATTAGAAACCATAAGGAAGCACTGAGAGTTTGAGTATTACATTCTTCAAGTATGCTGTTCGGATTTTTTATTTTTAGGTTGGTAACTATACACATATAAAAAAACCTTAAAAGTGCGGCCAAGGGATTTTGCTTAAAATTAAGTATTTAGAGGGCTACTTAAAAATACTGTAGTAGGACTGTGCAGTGATCCTTTGGGGGATGATGCTTTCACTTTTGTATCCTCGTCAAGGTTAAGGGGCAGGTTCAAAAGTGATCATACTTCCAGGATTAGCGTAAGTGGCCAACTTGGGTGAGAAAGCCAGAGAGATCCATGTGTTCTTCCACGGACAACGAAAATCCACCCCGAATCCAAAAATTCAGACATGGAATGTGGTAGGATTTCACAGTAAAGTTAGTCTGGGATAGGGAGAGGTGATGAGCCCAGACAAGGCAGGGTGTTAGGTTTAACTGGTTTGCCCTCATCAGGTTTTCGCATCTTTTTAGTGGGTTTTAGTGCAGTCCTTCAAGCCACAATTTAGATTGCCCTTCGGTGTGCTCCAGATTGTTGGTTCATATTAAAGGACTGTTTTAAGATTTGCATCCCAAGGAAAATCATGCTACATAAAAATGATCCAAGATTTTCGCCCAAAAAACTTCTTGGATAAAATCTAAAAAATACTATTGCAATTGCGTCTCTTGAAGAAAAAAACATTATTCTAAATGTAAACAGATTCACTCAACTCTTTTTTTGTTGTAGAAAACTTCAGAGTAGGTAAGTTGCTGTCTAACTCTCTGCTGCATGCACTCGCCAGAGGGTAGGGAACAATGCCTTCTGTGCCAGCATCATCTAGGGGATGAAAAGAACCGTTCCACATAGCTGAAGAGGGCGTCCCAGTGCTTCCAGAGAAAGGCAATAAAAACCACAAGGAATAAAGTGCTGAACGTCCTGTTGCGAGTCTTCATGAGGGGGACCACACAGTTGGCTACAGTGGAGACAAAGACCAAAAGGACTGCCATGACAGCCAGGAGGATGTTGATGAGTTTGCCCAGAAGGTTCCGGGCAGTGGCATTCTCCAGCCCTTCTAGCTGCACCACCTGCTGCTGCTGCTGCTGCAGCTCCATCTTGGAGATGCGCGTCTGGCATGCCTCCAGGGCCTCCTGTGGGCCAGAACAGGGAAGAGTTAAGCCTTCTGCTCACAAGTATTCTGAGATGCTGACATGCCCCCTGGGCAAGCCAGATGCATCTTGAGCAATGCCAATGATTTTATAAATATGCTGGAGCCTTGAATGAATGTAAAAGGCTAGATGTATAACTCACTATTCAAGTGATTATTATTCCCCCAAATTGCCCTCCACTGCATTCCAGTGGGATGAGTCACAGGAAGCAGTGGCCACACTTAACATTTATTTAGTCTAGAACATTTTAATGACAAGACCACAAATATATGCTCTTTTTTCATTGAAAATTAATCTAAGTTGCACAGAATATATTTGTTCAACATAAAAAATTTCAAATAGGATAGTCTCTCTTGACATTTCCTTCAATTCCAATCCCTGTCCCTGAGGCAGTACTGTTTGTGTTCACCCTTTTATGTGTGTAAGTGTATGCATATATGTGTCAAGGAAAATATACGGAATTATTATTTTTATTTCCTATCTGTAAACTAAAAATAAAATCCTAAGACCCCCAGCCAAATGAACGGACTCCCTCTTGGCCAAAGTGGACCCCAAAGAAACCTGAAAAAGTGAGTTCTTGGCAATGATGGGAAAGAGGCTGGACATGCCTTATTATATCCCCTCCCTTTTTGAGTTGTGGCACAAATGACCAGCATTAATGTGAAAATAGAGATCATAAGACTGACAGAATGGACTCTTTGTGGCAGTAAGACATCAAATTATAAACAAGACCTAAGGCCATGCCAGACAAGGTTAAATCTCACCCTATAAACCATAAAATCTCATCAGTTTTTAAAAAAATTAACTGGTGTTAATGTGGCTTTCTTTCCAACCTGACTCAGGTATAGCATCACATGACAGACAACAGACTCCGTTAACTTAGGCATTTTTGTACTGGCTTCAAGTCTTTACACAAAGCTTAACTCTTTCAACCGACTGCCAGCTAAAAAATTCCTAAAGCCCACTATGACTTGTTAGCCCCTACTTAGAGATGGCCCACCTTTTTGGGCCAAACCAATGTATACTTTCCATGTGTTGATTTAGGATTTTACCTACAATTCCTGTCTCCCTGAAATGTATAAAGCCAAACTGTAACCCAACTGCTTCAGGCATATTTTCTCAGGACCTCTTCAGACTGTGTTCCCCAGGCCATGGTTACTTGTATTGGCTCAGAATAAACCTCTTTAAAATATTTTACAGGGTTTGGCTTTTCCAAACATGGAATAGTATCACACTATAGGAATCGATTCACAACTTGCTTTTTTTTTCATTCAACAGTGGGTCTTGGTGATCTCTCCATGTCAATACACAGAATCTACCTCATTTTTTTTTAACTGCTGCCTGGCATTTTATAGTATGGCTAGGCTATGTTATAATATATGCAGCTAGTTCCCCCTTGGGGATTTTTAGGTTGTTTTCAACTTTTCCACTATAACAATGATGCAGTGAACATTCTTTGAACATGCTTCCTTATACACACTACCTGGTGTTTTCTAAGTCAAGTCAATCCCTGACATCAGTGGAAAGGGATCTCTGATCTGCCTTCTTAAGAAGGGCACACTCTCCTTTAGTTTGATCCTCTGTAAAGAGGACACTATGCCCACACACTAGACCAAACATTAAAAGTGTCTATTCTTGCTATTTTTTTGAGACGGAGTCTCGCTCTGTCACCCAGGCTAGAGTGCAGCGGCGCGATCTCAGCTCACTGCCAGCTCCACCTCCCAGGTTCAGGCCATTCTTCTGCCTCAGCCTCCTGAGTAGCTGGGACTACAGGTGCCCGCCAACATGCCCGGCTAATTTTTGTATTTTTAGTAGAGATGGGGTTTCACCGTGTTAGGATGGTCTTGATCTCCTGACCTTGTGATCCGCCCGCCTCGGCCTCCCAAAATCCCAAATCCCCTGGGATTACAGGCGTGCGCCACCATGCCCGGCCTGTTCTTGCTATTTTTTAACTTTATATTATTTAATTTAAAAGTCTATATTACCAAGACCTGATTGTATATTCTGTATCGCTCAATTACTAAAAAAACTTGAAAATAGTGTAAAATACTAATACATTAATGAAACATTAGTAATGCATTAGTGACATAAAGTGCTAATACATTAATGAGTCTAATGTTTAGAATTACCAGTAACTAATAACAACTTGTCTTATAACATATGCAATTAGAAAAAAGCTTCCATTTAACATACGCCTAATTCCCACACCTCCCCCCAACCCCCCCAAAAAAAGTGTCTGTTCTCCTCAAGGTCATAGCCTTCACTCATGAGTTTAAATTAATTCCAAAGTATTCAAGGGATAGAACCTATTTCCCTAGCTATGGTCAGATATCCTCCAAAGTTGGTCTGAGCCTTGAGTTTTTCTGGTCCTGGTTTCCTGGGATTTGAGGTAAGGCTTGGGCAACTTCAGACTGACGCCAACTATAGACAGACAATGGATGCTGTCCAGTCCAGAAGGATCTTAGGAAAAAATAATTAAAACATAAGCAGGGCCTGAAGAAGATGGCATCTGGGTAAATGATCTAGACATTCCCTTGATTCTTTTAGGCTGTTGTAATACAAGTTTTCTGGCCCACTTCCCTTCTCTGAGACTAGTGTCTTTCAAAATGCTTTCATATGAAACCACTAAGAACTATTCCCTAAATACCTCCATATAGAAATAAGAAAAAATTAAATATTCTACTTCCTCACAGAATAAAATAGATGGGCTATTAGCCTTAATTAAACATTACTGCCTCACGGGTTATTCTTGCAAACTGTCAGGCAATGTGCCTATATGAGATTTGGATTTGGCAGCTGGAATAAAAGCCCCCTTTCCCACAGAAGGAGAAGACAAGGACAAAATGGCCCAAATACTTGTCAGAGCTGCTTTTGAAGCAGTAATGGACAAATAGGATTCATGTGGTTTTCCATACACTGAGATTACTGTGATCCTAAGAAACATTTCCCAAGTACCAAGCAGACATACCAACCCAAAATGGTATAAACTTTTGAGAAATGCATCTCAATCATTTTAAGAGTAGGTATACTCTTACACAGTTGGTATAAGCTTTTCTTTGTTCTCTACCTTCTCATCTTTTTTCCTTCCGCTGTTTTCCTTTTTTCTTTCTAACCCTACTGTATTTTGCATTTACACCTTTTCCTTCATACTAACCTGGATGTCCCGGGCCCGTTCATAGGACTGATACGCGATTTTTTCTTCCATGCTTGCCAGTTCCTGCTTCAAGTTCAAGATTTCATTCTGGTGGAGCTCTGTTAGGTCATTTAGCTGTTCTTCCAATCGTTCACATCTAAGGAGAAAAAAAAAGTTTAGAATTTTATGAATTCTGTGAATATCTTTCCTGGCATTATTTACATCCAACTCCCAAAACACATTCTACAAAGGAATAGAAGCACAAAGAAATTGAGTGGCCTGGGTTAACAGGGTGTGCCAGTGGGTATAGCTCTTAGTCTCTGGAAAAGATAGCTTGTCTCAAGGCCAAATCACGTGGCAACATGGCTGTTCCATAATCTTTTCAATACACAGTATTTGCAGCGATGCCAGCAGCCCTGATTAGCTTTGAGCATAACCATAATATTAAGACAGTCATTAGGCTCCTCTGAACAACATATGGGAGAGGCAAAAACTAGGGTACAATTAAGCAAGCCTCATGAAAAGATAACACACCAATGGAAACCAACCTTCTGGCAGTCACCAGTAGCTTATTCCAGAACTGGCCAGCTCACTCACCCGGATGTTTGCGATTCAGAGCCCTAGAATGCCAGAGCCAGAGGGGTCCATCATCCCCATGGCCAAACACAAGTGTCTGGGACACTTCTGTCAACAAATATTTACTGAGAGCCTGCTATGTACCAGGCATGTTCAAAGTACTGGGAATATTGTGGTAAGCAAGACAGAGTGCCTGCCCTCAGGAGTTTGTACTCTAAGGAGTGGGGGAGGCAAGATGATTTCCCATATGGAGAAGTAAAACAAAGAAGATCAGTAGAGGTATAAGACAGAGTGCCGGTGATCGCCTGCCTTGGTCTCCCAAAGTGCTGGGATTACAGGCGTGAGCCACCATGCCCAGCCTAGAAAAGGTTTAAAGGATGAGATCAGAGATTCTAGGTGGAAAAATGAATGTGAGTAAAGGGCTGGAGAGAAATGGATGATAAATGTACAGAATAACTAGAATAGTGCATCTATGTTGGAGGAAAAAATGGGAAATCTGGAAGATCCGAAGAGTTGGGATTCTAGAATTGATATTAAATGAGCCCAAAGAAGACTACTGAGCAGAGGAGTCACATGATGAATATGTGTTTTTAGGAAAACGAGTCTTCTCATAGTGGTGAAGAAGACCGACTGAGGTAGGTTGTATGTGGAGTCCCAGGAACTAAAGAGCTAAGTAGATAGGAGAAAGGTTGAAGACTCCACATTTAAAAAACACTAGAAAAGGGAAGAATAAACATATGTCTAGCTTCTGGTGCCTAGAATGGAAACCTCTCTGTCAGGCAGAGGGCAGATGGGTAGCTCTCATCCCAACAGGGAATGTACTATCACTCAGGTAGCATACATTTAACATTAACACCAGCATGTGAGTCTCAAGGGACTTCATACTAAAAGAATAAAAATGCCAGAACAAACTCACACATCTAAAACTATCTCCTTTCTTTCTTCTTTTTAATCACATCTATAATATGTAAACAAACTTTTAAAGAATATAATGAATTTCTGTGTTTAAGGTAATTTTTATGTTGCAGCATCATAAACATTCTCCCTTCCAATAATTATGCAATAAATAATTATATCCTAAACTCCACTGCTTTTCTAAGAAACAAGGATTTTTTTAAAAGGCATTGTCTTACCCTTTTTACGATGTTACTAAACTCTATTTAGTTCTTCTTTATCCTTGATAGGAGTCTCTATACTGCCTTCTTTTATGCTGAAACTCTTCCTGTTATTGAAGTGACTGAACAGGCTAATGAGAAAGCAGTCCTACTTTTGATGGATAACTAGGGTCAAAGTTCTCTGTGACTCTGCCTTTTCCTTTCATCTGCTGCCCAGAGTACGTGATCAGGAACAGGTCCCATCCCTAGAATTGATTTTCCACCAAAATTTAAGTTCACAAAATGCCATAAGATAATGTTAACATAATGTCTTTTCGTGACTGTCCTATGTTAGCCCACTCTTCTGTGGTGTTTTCGGTGTTTGATAGTTTCATCATTCTCTCTCTTTACCAGAGAGGGGCCAGAGACTTTTTTAAAGCCGCATTCCAAAGTGCTGGTCTCTTGGGATTTAAGGGAAAGGTTATATCTGGCAGGAAATTACTCTCCTCAACTAAGGACTGTTGGGTGGCAGGGAGGGGAGCAGGGTGGTGGTCACCAGCCTACATCTTGATAAAAGCAGACACATGTGGGATCTCTGCATGTGTCCCACAGGCTACCACACAACCTCTTAGCCTACAAATTTCAGGCTTCTTAGGAATCTTATTTGATATTAAACATGGCTCATACATACCAGTAGAACAGATTAAAAAATAGCAGCCACAGCAACAGTTTAATCAGTGCCTACTATGCAAATTCATTTCAACAACCCCAAGAGGGTAGAAGGTATTATCTGCATTTTATAGATGAGGAAACAGAAGCTCAGAGAAGTTCTAAAGTGAATTGCCCAAGGGCACAAAAATATTAAGTAGGGCAGCAAGGATTTGAATCCAGTTTTGACTTTAAAATCCAAGTTCTTAAACTTTACAATGTGATGCCATTTTGAAACTCTACAAACCCAGATCAACTAACTCTCCTCATAAGTAAGAAATCAGAGTCAGAGTGCTAGCGATCCAAATCACTTAGCAAAAGTGAGCTGGAAAGAGCTACACTGATGTGATGGTTTGGAGTCTGATGTCAAAGTGGAGTTGATGGGAGAAGGAGGAGTATAATAAAAAATTATGAACCTACAATTAAAAAGATAAGAGTTGGTGAGGGCATGGAGAAATCTAAACCCTCATATACTGCTGTTGGGAATGGAAAATGGTACAATTGCTCTGCAAAACAGTTTGGCACCTCCTCAAAAAGTTAACAGTTACCTTATGACTCAGCAATTCTACCCCAGATATAACTGAAAAGAAATGAAAACTTATTTCTTCTATACAAAAGCTTGTACATGAATGTTCACACCAGCATTAATCATCATTGCCAAAAAGTATAAACAACCCATATGTATACGAGTGTTCACTGTACAACAATATATCATCTTGGCTGTTCACAAGTCAAGTATCAATATTTTGTATCCTAATCTGCTTGTCATTTGCCACCTGGCAAGTTTCTGTTCACTTTCTTCCTTTCTCCTTCAATCGATGGATGCTCACAGAAACATTAGAACATAAAACACAAATGTGAACACAGTTTTGCTTTTCACTACATGTATGCATATGAAGATCCCGAGCCCTAGGCAAAACTACAAAATAGGCTGACTTATGCCTTCACTCCCACAACATGGACTTCCTTCCTACTGCAGAAACAGTTCACAGGAGCAGGAAGGCTGTTGTTATCCTTTCCTCATCTTCTCACCTGACCTTTCATAATATACAGACACTCTTTGACTTACGATGGGGTTACTTCCTGAAAACAATATTTCCCATTTATGATGGGCTTAAATCAAACCATTGTTAGCCAGGGACTGTCTGTACAACAACATGTATGTCACTCTAGCAAGAATAATTCCCAGGACTGGGGCCTGAGATATTCTCTAGCAGCAGCCTGTGGGCTCTGACTCGGCTTTGACCTTACCTGCCTGGCCTTTTTTGTTCAGACCCAGTATGAAGACAGCAAAATACAAGGCATGCTTATCTTTACAAATAACATGAGGCAAGAAAGAGGTGAAACAGCAGACTGAATTCAAAATGATATTGACAGATTCAAGTGCAGCCAAGACTTTACCAGGGATTAATTCTATAGAAATAGGGAACTACTTCCTACTGCTGAATTCAGGTATCAAGAGCTCATGTAATGAGGGGGTAGCTTGTTCTTTGTAACTCCACAGAACTAAGGAGTAAGTCTTACAAATAGTTTGGTCTTTAGTTCAATTTTAGAAAGAACTTTCTAATAGCTATGTCTAACAATGAAAAAAACTATCTTAGAAAATGAGACCCTGCTACCAGAGATATTCAAGGAGAGGCTGCTTGTCAGGGATGTTGCAGAAATAAATCCTCTATTGAAAGAGATTTAACTAGACCTCTGAGATCTTTTCTAACACCTAGAGTTTGATTCTTTGTAGTCAGGGAACCTGTTTTCCTTTTTCTTTCTTTCTTTTTTTTTTTTTTTTTTTTAAAGAGATGGGGTCTTGCTCTGTCACCCAGGGTGGAGTGCAGTGGTGCAATCATGGCTCACTGCAGCCTCAAATTCCAGAGCTCAAGGGATCCTCCCACCTCAGCCTTCTGAGTAGCTGGGACTACTGACATGCACCACCAAGCCTGGCTATTTTTTTTTTTCAGAGACAGGGTCTCACTATGTTGCCCAGGCTGGTCTTGAACTCCTGAGCTCAAGCAATCCTCCTGCCTCAGCTTCCCAAAGTGCTGAGACTACAGGTGTGGGGCACCACACCTGGCTATTTTCATCTTTCAAACTATAGATACTTTAAATTTTGTGGTATATTTGCCTTCACAACGTATTGATTTTAACAACAATAAAGGGGGGCAAGGAGGTACACAAAATAGTGGTAATTTAAGAACTATGTAAAATCAGGTGTGAAATATTGGGATTCACTTGGTATGTGAGGTGGTGAGGAATATATATGAATCAGAGAATACTTGCAAAAGTCCTCAGCACTTATTCCCAACACTTTTGAACCTTACAATAAACCAATGTTTATCATAAGAAGGTTGCAAACCTGTCAAAGGTTCTGGAAGTCATTTTCAAACTAGATTTTGGTTCATCCCATATTATGTCTAGAGGTGCTCCATCTTCACTCCTGCCATTTTGCACCTAGAAATGTTTTCATAATGCAGTTTGTACCAGCTAATGCATGTGCTCAGTCCAGGTTTTGGATTAAAATCCCAGCTCTGCAACTCGCTAGCTTGGGTGATCCTTTTCATCCTCTATAAAGAGGAAATCTACCTACTCCAAAGGGCAATTGCAAAGATTAAAGGAGAAGACAGACATCAAATACCTGGCACACAAGAGGTGCTCTGTGAGACAGATATATCACAAATATACATTTGGTTTCATTTTTCTCTTTTGTGAGTCTCCTAGTTCTCCCCAACAATCCCTAGCGAGGTAGTTCAAAAAGATTGCTTGTTGACTGCCACATAGTCTTACTCCACTGTTCACTGATTCCCACTTCTGACTTTTTTCTCTAAGCCTTTGTTGTTGTTGTTTGTTTGAGACAGGGTTTTCTCTGTCGCCCAGGTTGGAGTGCAGTGGCGTGATCGTGGCTCATTGTGGTCTCAATCTCCTAGGCTCTAGTGACCCTTCCACCTCAGCCTCCCAAGCAGCTGGGACTACAGGCATGTGCCACCACGCCCGGTTAATTTTGTTTTTGTATTTTCTGTAGAGACGGGGTTTCGCCATGTTACCCAGGCTGGTCTTGAATTCCTGGATTGAAGTGATCTTCCTGCCTTGGCCTCCCAAAGTGCTGGGATTACAGGCATGAGCCACTGTCCATGGCCTTAAGTCTTCATTTCTTTATGTCCACTTTCCCAATTTTATATATTTTGACATTTTCACTGTTTTCAGTATATTTATGATGTTTTTCCTATGACATCACAGAAATGGGTTTACTGGGCACACACTCCATCCTCCTCAATCCTAGATACAAGCCTCTTTTACTTCTTATTTCATACATCTAGGTTCCTGCCATTTCCCTGGCTCAAGTTTGCCAGATAATTCAAATAGTTCCATGCACTGGCCATTTCCAAACTTTCCTTTGTACTGGTGAAACTATCTACCTATGTATGTGTGTGAGGAAAGGTGTCTCAAGTAATTTTTATTTTTTTATTTTAGAGACAGAGTCTCACTATGTTGTCCATGCTGGAGTACAGTGGTTATTCAGAGGCATAATCATGGTGCACTGCAGCCTCAAACTCCTGGGCTCAAGTGATCCTCCCATCTCAGCCTCCTGAGTAGCTGGGACTACAGACCTGTGCCATTGTGCCCAGCTCAAGTAAATTTTATCTAATTTTTTCAAATCTCCAAAAAGAGTTATATAGAAACTGCTAATCCTCACCATGCTCTTACAGAAAATAAAGTCCTTTAGAGGTTGAACAATTTATTCACAGTTACATGGGAAATTAACAGCAAGTTCTTCTCAAGCTGAGTCTTCCCAAATAAGAAAATGTAACTATTGTTCACAGAGATAATGCTTTGTTAGCAAGCAGCTAAATAGCAAAGCAGCATTTGGGTAAGTAGAATGATCTCAGCAGATGAAACAGACAAACATGGAGACCAATCTGGGCAAAATAGCAAAACCCTGTCTTTACAAAAAATACAAAAATTAGCTGGGCATAGTGGCATGCACCTGCAGTCCCAGCTACTCAGGAGGCTGAGGTGGGAGGATCACTTGAGCCCGAGAGGTCAAGGCTGCAGTGAGCCGAGACTGTGTCACTACCCTCCAGTCTGGGTGACAGAGCAAGAACCTGTCTCAAACAAACAGAAAAACCCACAAACAAAAACAGGAGTCCCAGAAGGATGCAGTGACTCCCTAGTTAGTAGTGAGGTTTAATAAGGATCTGAACCAATTGGCTTGTGCCTGTTATTAGATTATTGTCTTTTTAAAAACTTTTTGACTGGGCAAATTGCTTGACCCCAGGAGTTTCAGACCAGCTTGGGCAACATGGTGAAACCCTGTCTCTACTAAAAATACAAAAAAAATCAGGTTGGTGTGGTGGCATGTGCCTGTAATCCCAGCTACTTGGGAGGCTGAGGTGAGAGGACTGCTTCAGCATGGAAGGCAGAGGTGCAGTGAGCTGAGACTGTGCCACTGCACTCCAGCCTGGGTGACAGAGTAAGACCTTGTCTCAAAGAGAAGACAAAAAAATTCTGTATTGTTAATGAAATGCAAATAACGAAAGGAAAAAAAAACCTGTATTCTAGTTCCCACTGACTTCCCACTATCCCCATTACTAATATTATAATCTTCTTAGCACACTTTATTTTCTAGTGTTTACTTCCTGTCTAAATTCTAAAATGGAGAAACCAGGTACAAATACCTCTATCTTCTCATTAAATATTAACACCAAGCCAAACAGTAGGGGAGAAAAAGGGAAGATACATGTTTTATAGACTTTCATATGTGAAAGTCTTGGGTTTTTTTTAAACCTAGAACTCTGCTTTAAGGAATTTTAACCCCTTTACAGGATGCTAAATAGAACTCTCCAGACACAAATCGGGGCAGAGGAGATGGTGGGTGGGTGGGAGGTTCTTAATCATACAAGAACAGTCATGCCTCACTTAATGATGGGGACACATCTTGAGAAATGAGTTGTTACGTTATTTTATCACTATGTGAACACCATACAGTGTACTTACACAAATCTAGATAGTACAGCCTATGATACACTTAGGCTGTATGGTACAGTCAATTGTTCCTAGGCTACAAAGCTGTACAGCAAGTTACTGTACCATAGGCAACTGCAGACAGCTGTAATACAATAGTGTTTGTGTATCTAGACATATCTAAACATAGAAAAGGCACACTAAAAATATGGCATTACAGGCTTGGTAGTGCATGCCTGTAATCCCAGCTGCTTGGAAGCTGAGGCACGACAATTGCTTGAAACCGTGAGGCAGAGGTTTCAGTGAGCCGAGACTGTACCACTGCACTCCAGCCTGGGCAAGAGTGAGACTCCATCTCAAAAAAACAAAACAAAACAAAAACAGCATTATAAACTTATGAAACAACTGTCTTATATGTTGTTGATCAAAATGTCATTATTCAGCACATGACTATGTGTGATTTTGGCTGGCAAATGATGTTCACGCACCTCCGCTTGGATTACAAGTAGCATGAGATTAATAATCTTATTTTAAGGATTTTTACTCAAGGTCCTTCCTAAATTGTTACAACCCAAAGAGAACCTGGACACTTAAATATGGCATGAGCTTAACTATCAGCAAACAGAAAGCCTTTGCACTGTAAGATTATTTTTTCTAAAAGCAAGTATCATATTTTGGTAGATGAAATTCATCCCCCACTGGAAGCAAAACCTGTTCTATCTACAAAGTATTAAACACATCAAGATTTTGTCGTAGGTAAATAATTCATAAATAAATACTAAACTTGAAAGTGTTTTGGTCACTAGGTCAACACAGTAGTCAACTTCCTAGATCAGAGATGAGCCAGGGGCCTTTTGTGTCAAATTACTGATGAATGGGAGCCTGGGTGAGTACACAGCCTGGGAATGCTTTGACCTGAAGCATTCCTCTTTGGGTGTGGCTCAAAAGTTTGGAGCCATCTCTGAGAACCAATGGTGCTTCCCTAGTTCGGCAATAGGTCACTAGCACAGGATAGCTGAAGAAACTTGTGGAGCAGGTATTGAGAGAAACAGGAAGAACTAGGTCCCAGGAAAAACACCCACAGGCAACTATGGGAGAAGAATGGACTATTTCCCAAATGCATACCAGAGACCCAAAATAGCTTCTGCCAGTGTTTGACCAGAGTAGAGAGACACAGTTGGGGTAGGGAGTATGACTTGCGGTGGGAGTTTGAATAGGTTCCTAGCTGAATTGGGGAGAGTGGATTTTTTTCTCCTTACCTTTTGTTACCTTTTTTGTGTTGAAGCCTGAAAAGAAGCTAAAAAACACTGAACTAGCCTTCAGCTGAAAAGGGAAAAAGATATCAGTCCCCCACAATATTTCAAGGGTAGGCAATGAATTATCTTAATGACAAGAAAACAGTAAATATCTAAATAATACAGGAAATAAATAAAAACTAGAGGGGCTTTCTGGGCAACTTGCAGACTTGGTAATGACAGCTTTCTAACATTCTGGCACAACCCAGATCTTTGTATTCCCCTAGAAAAAATGGAGGAGGAGGGAGCATTTGTTGAGCTCCTACTCTAAACCAAACATCACACTAGGTACTTCCATATATGTTATCTCCTTTAATAACTTCAACAACCATGTACAATAAATATCATTACATTTTTACAGAGGGAGAAACTGAGGCTCAGATGAGTTATGTAATCTACTCAGAGCTGGCAAGCAAATTCAAGTTTGTCCACTCCAAGGAATAAGGGTTAATTAATTAATCCCCTCCATTCCTCTTTAGCGGCTAAACGCTAAACTGGGATGAGCTCACCCATAAATCTCTTTTATGGAAGATTGTATACGTCATATTTCCTAATTGGGATTTTGCTTCTCTCATAAATGAAGGGCTAATTTGATTCAGTACCCTCAGTTTCTATTTCAAACTTATTGTCCAAATCTAGCCTACATATCGTCTGGAGATTCTCAGATCACTTTTCAGTTGACAGGTCTCACACATAGAATAAAGGGGCTAAAACAGGTACCTCTGAGCATACATCTGAGCATACATCATTGGGTTATGTCCAATGATGGTCAAATCAACTAAAATTATATTTAAACAACCATTTGTTTAGTTA
The DNA here is from genome assembly GCF_000001405.40 of Homo sapiens. Lineage (NCBI taxonomy): Eukaryota > Metazoa > Chordata > Mammalia > Primates > Hominidae > Homo > Homo sapiens. The sequence continues at coordinate 129,664,386 of NC_000003.12, forward strand.
GAACTCTAACAGCCTGTGCCTAATTGGGTCAGCCTAGTTACTAACTGTTCTACTGCATGTGACAACTGCTCAGGGTGACTGTCTCCTGTATTTTTGCTCTTATGACTCAGTGCAATTTAAAATATCCCCGGGTTTAATACAAACTTTCTCAGAAGCCGATTTCCAATGGACAGTAATCCCCTTCAAATACAAGCTTTCAAAATGGCATTAATGCTCATCAACACCTGGGGGGTTTTTAGCCTGCCCTACATGACACTGCTTTATACAGGCTACAGTAGCTCAGTAGGATTCCAGGCCAGATCCCCTAAGAAAAAAACTACCAAAGAAACCAGCAAAATTCTCAATTAATGTTTTCCTAGCTCTCTCTTATTTTCAGTACATTTTGCCACAGCTGAACTTTTCCTTTTGGTAGCCTATTAATATATTTACACTCACTACAGGAACAAAACTAATCCTCAGTTTCTAGCAGCAAATTAAATATATGTAAAACCATTTTACTGTGTGACCTGGCAAAAGTCACTTTATCTTTCTGAGCTTCAGTGTTCTCAACTGTAAATAAGATTAATCTAGATATCTAAGGGTCCCTTCTACTTCTGAAGTACTGTGAACCCAGCTGCCACTAACAAAACATGGGATGAAGAAACTAACTGGACAAGAATCTGAAGTTGGCACAGGTCTCATCACTTAAAAAAATTTCTAAACCTTGTCTCCTGCCTTCCCCAAATACATGATCTCACTCATAGCTGAATGCACAATGGTAAAACTCAATACCTAGTCACTAGTCAAAGGCTGAGGTGGAGTTCAGATCCAAGCTCTGCTACAATGGCTTCCTGGGCTAAGTGCATGTGGGCAATGAAAAAATAATGTGTCAGTCATGGTACAATTATGTGGGTGAAGAGAGAGAGACTGTGCTCTATAGGCTTTGGAATGCTTCTGATTATTCCAGAGTTAGGCAGATGGTCTTGGGCAACTATCTTCACTTGGAGCTACTCACTTGGGTAGACAGCAATGGAAACACATTAAGCGAAGGACATTATTGAGAAGGGATTCTGAGAAGGGGAAATAATGACCGAAGTAGGGATTTCCTTAAGAAGGTTTCACCTATTTATTTACACTGCTGTACTGGCCTAGGAAACTTTCCAGAGCTTGCATATTCATAGCATTTTTATAAAATATGTTAAAAACAGTGACTCAACTTTTAGTAAACATTTACTTCAACTTGGGATAGGCCTAATACCCACTGCCAATGCATCTAATGCTTCAGAGAGCTAGGCTTTCAACCATATAGATTTCGGGATTGAGCTTTGAAAAAAATCATCCTGGTATGAAAATAACACTGAATTTGAAGTCAGACAAAACTGGGTTTTGAATCCTGGCTTTACCACTTACTGAGTGACCTCTGGCAACTTTTAAAACCCCACTGAGCTTCAATTTCCTCATCTTTAAAATGGGAATAATACAATTTACCTGTAGGGCCTACTGTGAGGATTGGCAAATGTACGTAAAACATCTAGCACTAGGCACATCACAGGAGTTTAACACTGTTCGTGGTAGTGGCCTTGTCACCATCATCATCAAATAACAAACAGCAACACTGTGCATGGCCTCCCTCTCATCAACTCAGATACTAGTAAAATAAACTAAAGCGTAGAAAAAAAATGTATCCTGAGCATCCACGCATGCATTAACTGGTTCTTGGTCACAGAAGGATCTGTGAAGTCCATCCACAGCCTACTTTCTTCCTACACAAAAAGCAAAGCCTACAACAGAGTAGAAGTAGAATTAGTAAAGAGAGGCTGCTGCGGGTAGCTCACTAACAGTGTGGAGAAGAAATGGAAAGGAGAAAAAACTATAAAAAAAGCAGACAAACTGAAAAAAGCCTAGGGCCATTTACTGTAGAGGCACATAAATGGACAGCTTCACTAACCTGAGAGTATCACTCTAAGCTGAATACTACCATATCTAAGCTCTTTCCATTAAGTTAGATTCAGTGTACTTTGTAAAAGAAGGCAGAGAAATTTCCCCAAAATGCTTAAAATGTGAAAAGTTTCAGTGCTTAAAATAGGTTTCTGGCCGGGCATGGTGGCTCATGTCTGTAATCCCAGCATTGTGGGAGGCTGAGGTGGGTGGATCACCTGAGGTCAGGAGTTCGAGACCAGCCTGGCTAACATGGTAAAACCCCGCCTCTCTTAAAAATACAAAAAAGTAGCTGGGCGTGGTGGCAGACACCTGTAATCCCAGCTACTGGGGAGGCTAAGGCAGGAGAATCACTTGAACCCAGGAGGCGGAGGTTGCAGCAAGTCAAGATCGCACCACTGCACTCCAGCCTGGGCAACAAGAGTGAAACTCTGTCTCCAAAAACAAAGAACAAAAAAACAAAAAGAAAATATATTTCAAAGCCAGGCATGGTGGCATGCACCTGCAGTCCCAGCTACTCAGGAGGCTGAGGTGGAAGCACTGCTTGAGCCCAGGAGTTCAAGACCAGCAAGGCAACATAGCAAGACCCTGACTCTTTATTTTTTAATTTTTTTTTTGAGACGGAGTCTCACTCTGTCACCCAGGCTGGAGTGCAGTGGCATGATCTCAGCTCACTGCAACCTCCACCTCTCAGATTCAAGCAATTCTCCTGCCTCAGCCTCCCCCGTAACTGGGACTACAGGCGCATGCCACCATGCCTGGCTAATTTTTTTTGTATTTTTAGTAGAGATGGGGTTTCACCATGTTAGCCAGGATGGTCTCAATCTTCTGACCTTGTGATCCACCCACCTCAGCCTCCCAAAGTGCTACGATTACAGGCGTGAGCCACTGCGCCTGGCCAGCAAGACCCTGACTCTTAAAAAAAAAAAAAAAAAAAAAAAGACTTCAATTTGTAGAAAAATTTTATTTATGTGAAAGCATTCAAAGATCAACAAAATTAGATGAATATGTTTACTGTATAAAGCCATATATAATGGAGGGGAAATCTCTATCTGCTTTATACAGGGAATTATTGGAACAACAAAAATAAAGTACAATAGTTGTGACTTTTCCACTCCCTTTTTTGGGGAAAAAAAGGGCTTTCTTTCTTCAAGATTGTGTTTTAAGGAAAAGTCATTCTAAAACTGAAATGGGAAAACAAAACAAGTCAGATTACGTAGTATGTCTTCTCCTTGCCTCCTGGTTTTAACTCTCTTTTTGAAAATTCAAGTTTTCTTCGTTCTGTCTTCATTCCATAAAACTAGTCATTTACCTACTAGAAAGAACCCAAAGTGCAATGAAAGAAATGCACTGCTCATTACCTCCTAAATGGCTTGAACTTAATTCTTCTAATGAGGTGTTAATGAGCAGCTAACGTTCTGTCCTATTATGTCTCCGACTTACACTAAATGGATTCAAAGGTGGCTCCTGAGAGACCTGTTTCTGATTTTCTCATATCTTGACTTTCTACATCTTGACATGAAGACATAACAAGCTCTATATGAATTTTAAGCTCTGGGGCAATTTAAAAACTACAAGGTATCCATTCAAAATAGAGGAGTTGACGGGGTATGGTGACTCATACCTGTAATCCCAGCACTTTGGGAGGCCAAGGAGGGCAGATCACTGGAGCCCAGAAGTTCAAGACCAGCCTGGGCAATATAGTGAGACCTTGTCTCTACAAAAGAATTAAAAAACGAGCCAAGCGTGGTGGTGCACACCTGTAGTCCCAGCTACTCAGGAGGTTGAGATGGGAGGATCACTTGAGCCCAGGAGGTCGAGGCTGCAGTGAGCCAAGATCGCACCACTGCACTCCAGCATGGGCAATAAAGTGAGACTCTGTCTCAAAACCAATGTAAAACAAAAAATAGAGGAGTCAAAGTAGGCAGTTTTGTGTGGTTTTAAAAATTTTTTTAACTGACTGTGGAATGTCTTCATGTTCTAAGTGGGGTTAACAGCATCTGTTCCCCTAACATCAGTAGAGCACTATGGGGCCAGGCACTGAGCTATGTGCTTTAACCAAATAATTTCACTTAAATATCACAATAATCTTATAAAGAACTATTACTATTTCTATGTTAGGGATGTGGAAACCAAGACTTAAGAGAACTGAAGAAACTTGCCCAGGTTTTCAAGGTTAGTAAGGGGAAGAACTGGAATTTGAACTTGGGAGTTAGGTTTAATATGGTACAAAGACACAGGTGTTTTACTTTTAGAGTTCATTTGAATATCTGTTATATCACTTATTGAATAAGATACTGTCTTCTCAGTATACTTAAGAATTTATTTTTATTTTCATTTGACACGGAGTTTTGCTCTTGTTGCCCAGGCTGGAGTGTGATGGCACGATCTCGGCTCACTGCAACCTCTGCCTCCTGGGTTCAAGTGATTCTCCTGTCTCAGACTCCTGAGTAGCTGGGATTACAGGCATGCGCCACCATGCCCAGCTAATTTTGTATTTTTAGTAGAGACAAGGTTTCTCCATGTTGGTCAGGCTGGTCTCAAGCTTCTGACCTTGGGTGGTCCACCCACCTCAGCTTCCCAAACTGCTGGGATTACAGGCGTGAGCCACTGTGCCCAGCCATACTAAAGAATTTATAAAACACTTAAATAAAAATAGTAATGTACAGTATCTGCTTTTAGAACTTTATTTCTCCCTCCCACACTCACTTCTCTGGTCTTCTCCCTTGAAGTCTTAAGTTAGAATTGAAGAACAGAAGAGTAAGAAAAGAGGCAGGCTGAATTACTGATTAGAGTTTTCACCATCTGAAACGAACTTGCTGCTGTAACTCTTCTTAGAGATAATTTATACATGTGAACAATTTGTTTCAGACCCTAAGATTACCTTATAAAAGCAAACTTTTAAAAACACATTTTTAAAAGGTGAAAAGGATATTAAAAGATTATCTGTTCAACTCCTGATGTTACAGTAGAAGTACTGAGGATTTTCTCTAGTTAATAATCGGGACAGGGCCAGAACCCAGGTCCTTCAAGGCCTAACTTGACCTGTAGCTCCCATAAGACTAGTCCTCAATTTGCAGCATTAGGTGGCCTGTCTCTGGCTAACAAAGTTTGGATGTATCCTTAGAAAAAAATTTTTTTTTTTTTTTGAGACGGAGTTTCGCTCTTGTTGCCGAGGCTGGAACACAATGGTGAGATCTCGGCTCACCGCAACCTCCACCTCCTGGGTTCAAGCGACTCTCCTGCCTCAGCCTCCTGAGTAGCTGGGATTACAGGCATGCACCACCACACCCGGCTAATTTTGTATTTTTAGTAGAGATGGGATTTCTCCAGACGAGAATATTATTTCTCTCTGCGTGTGAAGGTAACAAGGAGAAAGGACACATATTCAGAGTATAGCCAAGAGTGGTCTAATATGAATATGTAGTGTAATATTAAACACAAAAACGAGACCAGCTTCTACCCTTAACAGAGACTATGATTCAAAGCACTTAACCCTTTGAGAATTTTCTAACTCTTGTAGAACCATTTCATGTTTAAGTCCACTCTCATTCAAACACTTGTCAATTCATAATAAAGGTAACATTCTTATTTGGATTTGTTTGCAGTCTAATCTTTCTATACCAAGTTGCCCAGATATGTGTGTTTAAGGCCAAATACCTATAGAAGTCACTACATTTTGCTTGGGTGATATCTTTGATATCTACACAGTTCTAAGAATTACAGATCTTTTGAATTCAATGTAGTACAGTTACAGGCTGCAATGACTGTGTAGTTTTATAATTATAAATAAATAGGTGAAATACTTTAGAAAGCTTGGACTTCATTTTAAAGTTCTAAACTGGCACGAAAGACTGGAGAGTTACAGCAATGCTTCATCAGGAACTCATGTGGATGTCTTATGACATACCGAAAGTGCTCTGGACACTCTAGAGAAAGATAAAGACTTTTAAAAGCCATTTCCCCATATCTAAAGGGAGGGGAACCCTACACAAATAATTTCAGATATTAATTCCATGTGACTTACCTATATCGCTCCTCCTGTAAGGTCTGCATTATTAAGGAATAGTCCCTCTGATAATGTTCCTTGAGAGTCTCAAAGGATTCCTCTAGTCTGGCCTGGGTTTCCCGGATCTCCTGGATCTCATGTAGTAGTGCATCAAATCCTGAGCTCTGCATGTCCAGGGTGTTTGTTTTGGAGCTGGATGCTCCTACAGCGATGCCCCCTGTGGTGCTGTTGGCTCCCACTGAGCCTGAAGTGGCACTAGAACAATCTTCTTCACTACCATATTTTGGGCTAGACTGAAAGTTTGAAATCACTCCCAAAGCCTTCCCCGCATCATCCACTTGCCCTTCCTCTAAAGAGTCCTTCAGGTTGGGGATGTTGTCTGCACTGCCAAATTTGTTCCGAATGAGTGAGGCAATCTCTCTGGGCTTTGAGACTACAGCGCCTGCTGCTGAATGGGTGGCCTGGGAGAAGCTGGAAAACCCACCTTTGACACTATCCACCACACCTTCACTGAAGCCAGTCACCTTTGCTCCTACATCCTTCAGACCCTGGTGCATGTCCCTGAAGACATCCTTTGGCTGCCGGGGGATCCCATTCTGCTCTACCTCTCTGAGCTTCCTGTGGTAGTGCTCAAGTTTCTTTTGCAGCTGGAGGATAGTTTGGGCAGATTTCTGGTTCTTCTTCTCAAAGACTTGCTTGATGCGGGCAGCCTGCTGTTTGTCTGCACTGTTGGCAAGCTTCAAGTATTCAGCAACGTTGTCGTCCCGGGCTGTTTGTGCAATCTTGATTTGTTCTGTGAGCTTCAGGATCTTCTGCTGCAGGTGAGCAATGGCAGCCTTTGTGCGCTGAGGGTCTGGTGTTCCATCCACAGAGTCTGTGTGGATGCTGCCATCGGTACTGGAGGCCACTGCACTGGATGTTTGGGCAAGGCTGCTTACTTCCAACCGTTCGATCTAGTGTAAAAACAAGAGGTACATGTTAGAAGCCCAAGAGGACTACGTCTTCAAAATCAATGGGCCAAAATGTATTGGAAATGTGTCTACTCTCAAATCTCAGTAGATAACTGACCTATAATTCCCCCTTGTCCTATGCCAGCCCTGTCTCCCTCTTACATACTGCCCTCATACAAGTATACTTTAAGCAAAACAGATATATGAAAAAAGATCTGCACAAGATATAAGCTGGGGGATTCTTCCTTTGCTAGAGGATTTTTCAGTGTTTCTTCACACAATAACACTCCCTTAGTGGGTTTAAAGTATGAATTAATTCACTTTCTTTACACATAATTTTTATTCAGAAGAACATCTATGTAAAACAAGTTGCATCTGCATTTCAATATAATTATATGAAAACCCTTTTGGTGTTCAGACATCACTGTAATTCTGATCCACACTTATAGATTATGGTCACCTAAATGTGTCGGCAAGAATAGGTATGTTACTGGCTAGATATAAAAATGCAATTTTTATCATAATGATTTTTATCCAAATCATGTCAAGGGTGATGGATCATTCTATATATTCTAAGGATATTTAAGTGGCAGCTGGAGATGGTTGGAGGCAAGATGGGAAAGTAACTGCTGAAAGTGGCAAAGATGAATGTTACCAAATCAAAGGTGATAACCTTGAGCAAGAAAACTTGAAAACTCAGGGACAGGAACAGTAAGAGCTAAGTTAACAAGTCAGGGACAAGGATCAGGTCTTTCGGAGCCCATATTTTGTGACCTTTATCCAGTAAAAGGTTTTTGTTAGGCAAGGGACTCCAAAGCACGTATACTTAATCCTTTCATGTGGGTGAGAACCATTCAAAGGAGTTGAAGAAAAAGACAAGATACTCAGATTTAAAAGCATAAATGTTCACTCTTCAACATAGTTAGCTAAATTTGGGGAGGTCAAGTTTCCCAAATTCAGGACAAAAAAATCCTTCAGTAGGTCATCCCTGGGTGTGGCTTGTGGTGGTGAATTTGAATAGGTCCCAAAGAAGAAGGCTCTAGAAACTGTTCTTGGCCAGGCACAGTGGCTCACGTCTATATTCCCAGTGCTTTGGGAGGTCAAAGGAGAAGGATCACTTGAGGCCAAGAGTTTAAGACCACCCTGGGCAACATAGTGAGACCCCCTCTCTACACATTTTTTTTTTAAATTACACAGTTATGGTGGCACACACCCATAGTTCCAGCTAGTAGGGAAGCTGAGGTGGGAGGATCACTTGAGCCCAGTAGTTCCAGGCTGCAGTGAGCTATGACTGCACCACTGCACTCCAGTCTGAGTGACAGAGCGAGACCCTGTCTCTAAAAATAAAAAAACAAACCTGCTCTCTGTTAAGCAGTAACAGAGTAATGAGTAATGAGTAATAAAATAACCTTCTTAGGGTAATAAAAATCCCCAGTATAAGTGCCAAATTACAATCCTTTTCTTGGTTCCCATCTTAATCTGTACCAGGTAACAATTTGCTAGAAAGAACTATATACAAGATCACCTTCTTCCTCATATTTTCATGACAATAATGCACCAAGTTTGAAATATTTATGAAACGCCAATAATTAACCTAGGGATAACATCTTCTTTTTTTCATCTGGGATGTATTACCTCAGTTTGCCATCTGAGCAGGAGCTATGCTGATCTCTGAGCCATAAAACACATTTAGTTCATTATTGAATTCAATATATTACCATTGATGTGAATAAAAACACTACCTTCTTTCTAGATGAACAAATGAGAAATACTGTGCATTTAAATAAAATCAAAAGAGAATTTAATACTGAAATTAATGACAAAATAACGTTATGCACCACTAGTGAATAAAAGAGAATATCTGGAATAGTTACTAGCACAATAACTGTTTTGTGTCACTTCCTCCTTCTGCCCAATTCATCTTTTGGTGCATGCTAACAAGCAGTGGAATGGACAGACGCAGCACAAGGGAGGAGCAGCCAGAGTTCCAGATAAGCAAGGTGCCAAGAGTTGCAACAAGAGCTCCTGGAAATCCACTTTATTCAGTGCCCAATGTCTTCTAGGTTGCACAGGGTTCCAATTGTTGCATTTTCTTTCTGAATGAGATTTCAGATCCTTGACCTTGATGAGTATTTATGTTTAATAATTAAGCTCAAAATATACCACAATATAAAGGAAAGCAAATATAAGAATGTCACTAGATCCAAGACTCTAAGCTTCTGCATGCTCTAGTTATCTCTCTCTTAGGTTCTCTGATATTAATATGAATATTTACATGCAATCTGTAGACTAAAGAAGTGTAGCTATGGCCAGGCACAGTGGCTCACACCTGTAATCTCAGCACTTTGGGAGGCCAAGGCGGGAGGATCGCTTGAGCCCAGGAGTTTGGGAACAGCCTGGGCAACATGGGGAAACCCCATCTCTACAGAAAAATTAAAAATTAGCTGGGCATGGTGGCACATGCCTGGAGTCCCAGCTGCTCAGGAGGCTGAGGTGGGAGGATAGCTTGAACCTGGGAAGCAGAGGTTGCAGTGAGCCATGATTGTATTTGATTATATCTCTAAAATGAAAAAAAAAAAAAATCTCTACACTAAACTTTCAACATACAGTCATATGCTGCATAATGACATTTCGGTCAATGATGGACTGCATATACAACAGTGGTTCCATAAGACTATAATACCAGATTTTTACTGTACCTTTTCTGTTTAGCTATGTTTAGATATGCAAACACTACTGTGGTACACTGCCTACAGTATTCAGTACAGTAACCTGCTGTACAGGTTTGTAGCCTAGAAACAATAGGCTATACCACATAGCCCAGGCGTTATACCATCTAGGTTTGTGTAAGCACACTCAGCGATGTTTGCACTTTGACAAAACTCCCTAAATGCATTCCTCAGAATGTATCCCCATATTTACAAGTGATCACATTTTAGATGTGATTTTATTTCCTTATGTAGTAACTGAAGAAATAAACTAGGCTGTCTTTAATCTGACTTCCGTCCTACTTGGGCTGTTTGGAGCCATAGTGTGTCCTGGCTCCTACTCAGAATCATCAACATGCCTGCAAGAGTATAGCTGATAGAACCCAACGTCTTCAGCCTCTAAAAAAACTAACCCATAGCTTCAGCAGTAAGGTAGTTTAACACCTGAAACCATGAATCACTGGACTACTGGAACTCCTCCCAATTCTAGCAGAAACAATTTTTTTAAAGGAGGGAGAAAATGGGAAATAAGGGGAGGGGAAGAGAGGAGAATGATGGAGTGAAAGAAAGGGAAGGAGAGAGGAAAAAACCAGAGGAGAGGAAGAAGAAGAGTGGGGTGCAGAGGGAGAGTAAAGGAGGAAAGAAAGAGAAAGTTACATTGGACTACAGAATCACAGGACAGGGGAGGAAAACAGTCGTGATATACTCTGAGTTAGGAACAAAGTCCTTAAAGGGGAATTCCATGCTCTAGGCATTAATACTTAGCACTTAGCTATGAGTTTTGAAGGCACCAACTGAAAAGTGGTTCCCTTTTTCAACAGCCTTTGCTGGCATATTAGGCTGTTCATATACAACAACATAAAATTAGATTTCTCTTCTTTTTTTTTTGAGACAGAGTTTTGCTTTTGTTGCCCAGGCTGAAGTGCAAAGGCGCGACGTCAGCTCACTGCAACCTCTGCCTCCTGGCTTCAAGCGATTCTCCTGCCTCTTCCTGAGTAGCTGGGATTACAGGCGCACGCCACCACACCCAGCTATTTTTTTTGCATTTTTAGTAGAGACGGGGTTTCACCATGTTGCCCAGGCTGGTCTTGAATTCCTGACCCCCAGTGATCTGCCCGCCTCCCAAAGTGCTGGGATTATAGGCGTGAGCCACTGTGCCCGGCCATAAAATTAGGTTTCTAACTCACTCCAGATAGACAATTAAATCCCAAATGTAAAAGGCAAAATTTAAAAACCTTTCAAAGGCAGCACTGCAAAATAAGGAAGGCTTTTCTTAAATATACAAGGAAAGGCACAAATCCAACAAACAAGATTGAGTCTGGCTCCATATAGTACAGTAGTGAAGCATGGATTCTGGCATAAATGGCTTGGGTTCAAATCTGGCTTTGCTACTAGCAAGTTATTTAGACAAGTTACTTAACCTCCGCATCCATTTCATCAACTGTACTAATGCTCACTTTAGAAGACAATTATGAGGATGAAATGGGTCAACAAATATAAAAGGGCTTAGAACAATACCTGGCACTGAGTAAGTTGTTAGCACTGTTTTTGTACCATGAAAGTGGTTCTTTTAAAAAATTTAAATGTTAAGAGTTCCTAGAATATATTCCCGTCCAAGATCTTTCCACATTTCAGGCATGAACAAGAGATACGTAAAGAGTGAACCAAAGGAATAATGTAATTCAACATTACAATAAAAGTAATATAGTCACCTATGCTAGATATAGTTGGCCTCGTGGCTATACACTTGGCTAGCTAACCTTCCAATCTTAAAAACAACATTACAGGCTAGGCGCAGTGGCTCACGCCTGTAATCTCAGCACTTTGAGAGGCCGAGGCAGGCGGATCACGAGGTCAGGAGATCGAGACCATCCTGGCTAACACGGTGAAACCCCATCTCTACTAAAAATACAAAAAATTAGCTGGGCGTGGTGGCGGGTGCCTGTAGTCCCAGCTACTCAGGAGGCTGAGGCAGGAGAATGGCGTGAACCTGGGAGGCACAGCTTGCAGTGAGCCGAGATCGCGCCACTGCACTCCAGCCTGGGCGACAGAGCGAGACTCTGTCTCAAAAAAAAAAAAAAAAAAAAAAAAATTACAGATGTTGTTATCACTAATTTACAAATGACTTGATTGCCTCCCACCACCAGTTATTACAAGGCAGGATGAGGAAAGCAGCAGCAGTCCCAGCTACTCAACAGGGTGTCTTTTTCTGACCATATCCTGAGGGGCTTTTGTACTCTCCTGTCAGAGTCCAGAGCATCAGTGCAGCAAATACTGCCCATTCACAGCTGATATTAGAATTTGTAATTAATTTGTATAGAAAAAGGTAAAAATCAGTCAGTTAAATATATTTTGACTGTTTATTATATGCAAGGCAATGCGCTAAAAAGCTAGGGATATGGTCAGAAGCCACAATTCTGATCTGTTGCTGTAACAGACTATGCTGCTTTGTCTGCATTGTATCTCTTAATATTAAGAGATAGTTTGTCAGACTTAAATTTATCTATTAACTGATCTGAATTAATTGACAGAAAACAACCCAAGAGAAAATCTAAACAGCAACACCTCAACATAATCAGGGCAGAGTGGTGCCATTTAGAGCGCAGCATTTAACTTAGCTTTGTTACTTAGCTCTGTCTACTTTCTCTAAGTAGATGAAAGTGTCAGAACACAATAGCACCCAGCTTTGAGAATAATCACGTGTAAAGGCAATGTGGTGGAAAGGGCAAGAATAAGAAGACCTAGGTTCAAACCTAGCTTTATCACCTTACTAGCTGTGTGGTTTTGGGTCACCTACTTGTTCTCTTTCAACCTTAGTTTTCTCATCTATACAACAGGGTTATCATTTTCTAATGAGATTTTTTGAAAAAATGTTAAAGATGTATTAAGTCAGATGATGCCTGCCAAACATGGTAAACTAATTAGTTACCTTCTTCCATCACTTAACCTGGCCTGTACGTTCATTAATCAAAATCCAAATACCTATTTGTAACTAGAAAAAATTAATAAATTGACCAGGTGTGGTGGCTCATGCCTCTAATCCCAGCACTTTGGGAGGCCGAGATGGGCAGATCACTTGCGCTCAGGAGTTCAAGACTAGCCTGGGCAACATGCCGAAACCCTGTCTCTAAAAAAAAAAAAAAAATTTGGCCGGGTATGGTGGCACACGTCTGTAGTCCCAGCTACTCAGGAGGCTGAGGTGGGGGGATTGCTTGAGCCTGGAAGGTCAAGGCTTCAGTGAGCTGAGATTGTGTCACTGCATTCCAGCCTGGGTGACAGGGTCCCCCAAAAAAGAATAGTGACTCAGGCTATAATATTCAAGAATCATTCTCACAAGACTTTAGAATGAAGTATATTATATACAATTAGTCTGAAGTCTGTTAATGTGGGAAAATGTTAAAAATTTTCTATTTTCTGAGCATGTGCTAACCAGGAAAAGGAGACGGTAACAAAAAAGGTGCTTTTATTACTGAGAATTAAAAAATACATATAATATTCATGTGCAGACAAGCCAATGTGACTATAGAACTGCTCAATAAGTTCTCCTTTACAAGTTAATTCCTGCTACAAATACTTCAATGATACAGTGTCATTAAAACAGAATATTTCTCAGCCTTAGCTTAATTCTATTTATTTCAAGCAATTGTGATAAGATGAAATTCTAAAGTAATGAAGGGATCCAAAATGCTCAATAGGGTCTATGATAATCTGGCTCTCCCTGAGCTGGTTGTCATGGCTTGTTAGGAAGCTTGTGAAGAGTAGAGGGTCCAAGGAAGAGCTGTTCGAATGATATACCCCTAATCCCACGTTAGGACTAATTACTCTTCTTACTCTTAAAAATCATTTATTTGCTGATGAATTCTAAATGTACACCACTAGCTCACACTTCCCTTAATACTAGACTCAGATATCCAACTACCTACTTAGTATCTCTACTTGCATGTCCAACAGTCGGTTCATTTTTTATTTGTTTTTGAGACAGAGTCTCGCTCTGTCGCCCAGGCTGGGGTGCAGTAGCATGATCTTGGCTCACTGCAACCTCTGCCTCCTGGGTTCAAGCGATTCTCATGCCTCAGCCTCCCAAATTACATGGGATTATAGGTGTATGCCACCACACCTGGCTAATTTTTAGTGGAGGCGGGGTTTTGCCATGTTGGCCAGGCTGGTCTCGAACTCCTGGCCTCAAGTGATCCACCCTCCTTGGACTCCCAAAGTGCTGGGATTACAGGCATGAGCCACCACGCCTGGCCAATTCTTTTTTTTTTCTCATATACCTTATATCCATATCCACTTAATAACAACATTAATAATCATAGTTGCTAATACATATAGTATACTTGCTATGTGCTAAGCACTGTTCTAAACCCTTGGCATGTACATTGTTTAATTCTTTTTTTTTTTTTTTTTTTGAGATGGCGTCTCACTCTGTTGCCCAGGCTGGAGTGCAGTGGCATAATCTCGGCTCACTGCAACCTCCACCCTCTGAGTTCAAGCAATTCTTCTGCCTCAGCCTCCCGAGTAGCTGGGATTACAGGCGTGTGCCACCATGCCCGGCTAATTTTTTGTATTTTTAGTAGAGACGGAGTTTCACCATCTTGGCCAGGCTGGTCTTAAACTCCCGACCTCATGATCCACCCGCCTCAGCCTCCCAAAGTGCTGGGATTACAGGTGTGAGCCACCGTGCCCGGCCTCATTGTTTAATTCTTTATAGTAACACTATGGAATGGGTATTATTATTTATCCTAATTTTATGGCTAAGAAAACCAAAGCATAGGGAATTTAAGTTGTTCAAGATCACAAATTAAAGAAGTACCAGACTCAATGTCTGAACCCAGATAGTCTAGCTACAGAGTATGTGTTATTAACCACTATGTATACACCATATTGTCCTAGCAATGCAACAGTCTCCTATAACTGCAATAATATTTTTATAATTATCTGCAGAGCAGCCAGAGTAGTTCTTTTAAAACATAAGTCAGATTACGACACTCTTTTTATACCTGTAACTTTCCAGTGGCTCTCTAGGTCAGTCAGGGTAAAAGCCAAAGTTCTTACAATGGCCATGATCTACACCTGCACCACTACATCCCATAAACTCCGTGACTTCATCTCTTACTAGTCATCCCTTTACTCCACTGGCATCAGCTACAGTGGCCTCCCCTGTTGTTCCTGGAACATGAGAGACAGGCACCCATGTCAGGGCTTTTCACGCAGTGAGTGTTCCTTCTTTCTGGAGTGCTCTTCCCTCAGACACCTGCACGGCTTGCTCCGTCACCTCCTTTAAGTCTTTGCTTCAATGTCACCTTAGCAGCGAGGACTTCTCTGACTGCCTTATTTATTTATTTATTTATTTATTGATGGAGTCGTGCTCTGTCATCCAGGCTGGAGTGCAGTGGCACAATCTCGGCTCACTGCAACCTCCGCCTCCAGGGTTTAAGTGATTCTTCTGCCTCAGCCTTCCGAGTAGCTGGGACTACAGGTGCGCACCACCACGCCTGGCTAATTTTTCTATTTTTAGTAGAGATGGGGTTTCCCCATATTGGCCAGGATGGTCTTGAACTCCTGACCTCGTGATCCGCCCACCTTGGCCTCCCAAAGTGCTGGGATTACAGGTATGAGCCATCACGCCTGGCCTGCCTTATTTAAAATTGCAAATTTTGGTTCCATTATGAACTTCCTATTTTCTTTCTTGACTTCATTTTTCTACATAGAACTCTTTACCTTTTGACATGTATTTTTATATTTCATAAAAAACTAGAATATAAGGCCCATGAAGGTAGATATTTTTGTGTTTTGTCCACTTTTGTTTCTCTAACAACTAAAATTGTGCATGGCACTTAGCAGCTGCTCAAATATTTGTTGAATGAATACAATTTCCTATTCTCTTATTTATTCAGAGTATTTTTTGGGTGTGCTATGTTCCACTCTTTCATTAGAATCTGAAGTGTTTCCATTTATTGTATCACCAAGAAATCTTAACAAGCTTATTTATAACTTCTTCATCTGTGTTATAACAGGATCTTATTGCATCAGAGATTGACTTTTAAAAGCTTCCCAAAGTACCTTATCTTCATACATTAAAATCAGACATTTTATAATTTTTTAAAAAGCTTAGAGTTCATTTATACTCTTGCATGAATTGCCCTAAAATACTTTAGTATTCTCGTTTTATTAAAAACATGTGTTAAATGCCCAAAATTATTTTTCTTCTTTGTGAACTACATGAATATTTCTACTCCTTAGATAGACAGACATTTTCTGAGACTACGAAAGTGGAAGACTCAATCTGGTTTATGTGTAAATACGAAGATGATAGTAGCAAAGGTAATAGTAGTAACTGAGTGCTTACTATGAACCTGGTACAAATCTAAATGCTTTGCTTATATTAACTTGGTTAATCCTCAAAACAAACCTAGGAGATATATACTATTTTAATCTCCATTTTATAGCCGAAGAAATTGAATCAGGAGAAGTTAGGTGACTTGTCGAAGGTCACATAGCCAATAAGCAGCAGAGTCAGGATTTGAACTCAGAGGACTTGGCTTTAGAGTCCTTGCTATTCACTGCGTCGCTTGTCATAAGTCATAACCACTACCACTTGAGCAGCAGAATAGGGAGGCACTGATGATTTTTACAAAGTTAGACTCTGGGCCAGGCCTGGTGGCTCACGCCTCTAATCCCAGCACTTTGGGAGGCTGAGGCGAGTGGATCATTTGAGGTCAGGAGTTCGAGACCAGCCTGGCCAACATGGCGAAACCCTGTCTCTACTAAAAATACAAAAACTAGCCAGGCATGGTGGTGCACGCCTGTAATCCGAGCTACTTGGGAGACTGAGGCATGAGAATTGCTTGAACCGGGGGGTGGAGGTTGCAGTGAGCTGAGATGGAACCACTGCACTCCAGCCTGGGTGATAGAGCAAGACTCTGTCTCAAAAAAAAAAAAAAGGAAGAAAAAGTTAGACTCTGAATGGGAATCCCACATATGTGATTACATCCTTTCTCCTAAAATTTATTAACTATGTATATGCAAAGTATGAAGCAAGGTGCTATAGGAGATATGATGATGGTAGTGATACGGCACTGTTCAAAAGCAGCTTATATGATGGGGGGTGGAGACAGAAGGTCAAATAATTTGTTTTAATATGTAAAATGTGTATATTATAATATTTATGGCATTTTCCAAACATCTATGGGGATTCAGAAAAAAGAAATACCTGGTTTGAGATGGGGTGACTAAGAAGTTTTACAAAGCAGATGGTATTTTTGCTGCACTTCAAAATGGAATTCTGACAGACTTATAAAAAGGGTCATTTCCAAGAGGGCAGAAAAATTCTACATATTTTATAAAGCAGTAAATAATATAGTTTGGTCAATATTTAGGGAAAGTATAGGAATACTCACGGTTTGAATTTATTTTAATTTAAATAACCTTCCTTTACTATCTAACTCGCTAGGAGGTAAAGAATGATAAGTAGTCAACGTTTTTTTTTTTCAGTAGGGAACTAACATTACCAGAGCTATGTACTTAGAAGCTTAATCTGGTATCCATGAGTAAATGAAATAGAGTATACAGAGGCTGGTGGGTAGGAGGCCAGGTAGGAAGCTATAATAATCATAAGCCACTAGAACACAGTGCCAATAGAAATGAGGAAGAGGAGACCAGGTGCAGTGGCTCACGTCTGTAATCCCAGAACTTTGGGAGGCCGAGACAAGCGGATCACCTGAGGTCAGGAGTTTGAGACCAGCCTGGCCAACATGGTAAAACCCCGTCTTTACTAAAAATACAAAAATTAGCCAGGCATGGTGGTGCACACCTGTAATCCCAGCTACTTGGGAGGCTGAGGCAGGAGGATCGCTTGAACCTGGGAGGTGGAGGGTGTAGTGAGCTGAGATCATACCACTGCACTCCAGCCTGGACAACAGTGAGACTTCGTCTCAAAAAAAAAAAAAAATTTTTAATTAAAAAATAAATAAAATAAAAATAAAGAAATGAGAAAGGGAGAGGCCAGAAAAGCCCTAAGTGTTCCTACTTTTAGAGGTTCCATGCACATATAAAACACATAAAATATCCTCATATTAAATATAATTTTTAACTGAAAACTTAAGTTTTTCTGTTATTTTGCACTGAAATTATCTGACAAATTATCTGGAAACAACTACCTTATTTTTAGAGATAGGGTCTTGCTATGTTGCCAAGGCTCAAGTGCAGTGGCTATTCATGGGCGTGATCATTGTGCACTGTAGATTCAAACTCCTGGCCTCAAGCAAGTCTCCCACATCAGCCTCCAGAGTAGGTGGGACTACAGACCCACGTCACTATGCCCAGCTACAAATAACTTTAAATATTCTTGACACGTATCATGAAGAAGAAAATATAAACTACAAATTGTTTTCAAATGAAATACTCAAATAATGTTAAATATAACAATTAAAACTGACAGTTGCATTTTGCAACTGTCATTAAATATTTATTAAGATTTAAAACTTCTCCTGTTTATATTTTAGATAATAGGGTTTCTGTAGGCCCTTAAAAAGCTCAGTCCCCTGCCTCCCTGAGCCTACAGTGCCTGCTGGATATAGCAGTTCTGTAGATTTAACTGTGATACCCTCTCCAAGCTTCAGACTCTCTGCTACATAGATGACTCTCTCTGTCTCTAGGTTTAAATTCTCAATTGCCTAATGGCTATTTCTACATGAATATCCTTCTGTGTTTCCCCTGACAAATCAAAATCTGTCTCAAACTAAGCATTCAATGTCCTCGCCTCTCTTTCAAAAATACCTGTCTCCTTATAAACCTGTTTTCATCCTTTTTCCAGTAATCAAGAGTAAAAGCATGTTTCTGATCTTTTCCCCTTCTTGCCAAAGTTTTTTTATTTTTATTTTTGAGACAGAGTTTCGCTCTTGTTGCCTAGACTGGAGTGCAATGGCGCGATCTCGGCTCACCGCAATCTCCGCCTCCCGGGTTCAACTGATTCTCCTGCCTCAGACTCCTGAGTAGCTGGGATTACAGGCATGCGCCACCATGCCCGGCTAATTTTGTATTTTTAGTAGAGACAGGGTTTCTCTACGTTGGTCAGGCTGGTCTCGAACTCTGGACCTCAGGTGATCCGCCCGCCTTGGCCTCCCAAAGTGCTGGGATTACAGGCATGAGCCACTACGCCCGGCCCTTGCCAAAGTTTTTAAGCAGCTTCTAAGTTCTACTGTTTTTGCTTTTATAACACTGCATGCCAATCCTTTTCATGCCAACCATAGGTGATCAGAGTATTATTTAAACAGTCTCCTTTTTTCCATTCTACCTTGTACACCACTGGTCTATGAGTATTCCAAGACTAGATTTATCTTTTTCTAACTTGCTTTCCCTAGTGTCTAGTAGCTGGGCATGTTTGGCACCCAACCGTATTATCTTATTAATCCAGTGAGGCAGGCACTATTCTAATTTTCTACATGAAAAATCTGGCTCAGAGGCTAACTCAAGCCTTTGATTCCAAATTGTGAGCTCTCTGTTGTATAGTACACCCATGTCTGATCTTTGACAGACTGTAGTTCTAGCATTACTTGGTTACCTGTAACCGAATAAAAATTATTTTTCTACATGTCAATAGGTTTTTAATTCTTTGTTTTGTTTTTCATAGATTTAGGGGGTACAAATGCAGTTTTGTTACATGGACATATTGTACAGAGGTGAACTCTGGGCTTTTAGTATACCTATCACCTGAATAGTGAACATTGTGCCCAATAGTTAATTTTTCAACCCCCACCGCCCCACCACCATCCATCCTCCTACCTTTTGGAGTCCCCAGTGTCTATTACTGCCCTGAATAAAAATTATTTTAAGAGAAATTTATTTAAACAGACAGGACAGCTTATTGTTCAGACTCCTGATACAATCTCAACAGATCAAGTTTCTGTCCTTTAAAAAATATAAAATCTTCGGCAAGGGATACTCCAGGGTGTTATCTTTCCTAAAATCTGTACTTAATTTTGAGAACACAGTTGCTTTTTGTACAACAGAATAAAGCAGATACACTGATAAAGTTGGTGTAAATGCCTGCTGTATATACTGTCTCTAACGTCTTAAGAATGTCATCAATGTTTAAAGATCCTGGAAATAAATTAAGGATATCTATGACAAATTGTAAAAAATTGCTTAAATATGTAAATGGTATGGACTTCAGAGACTTGTCTAGTTGTTCCAGGTTTTTAAATAGAGGTATCTGTAACTCCTAAAAGGGCTAATAAATCAATAAAACTTGGATTCCAAAAGACTGAGAATCAATGCACACCAGTGTTAACTGAGATAAGAAGAACATTCAGCTATTCAAAGACTTCTGAAAAGGCAAATTGAATGCTTAAGCCTCTGTGAGGGAATTACTTAAATGGTAAGGATCCAATTTTCATAATTTGTTTATGCATTTCTATACTCTGTTGATGTAGGAGTCGGGGAGAGTGGGAGAGACTACGGGCAGTACCATCCCTCCAGGTGGCACTAGGCCTGGGGGCATTTCTCCTGCAGTGTAGTCTCAAAAATTACCTGATCTTAAATGCCAACAATGACCTCACTGAAAAATACTAGATGGATTCTGGACTTACTCCAGAAGAATGGGAAAAGAGGAGACACAGAGAACAAGGCGAGTTGTGGATGTCCTTTCCTGCCTTGGCCAATTCTTTCACATGTGATGAGCAATGGAAAGATTTCAGTTTTTCTGATAAATTACAAATAAAGTAAAGTAGAAAAGTATATGATAAAAGGGACGGATTCAGGAATTCTGCATATGAAAGGAAAAACATTTTCTGCTTTGTATCTAGGTATCTGCGGGGTAGGATAGCTTAGAGAAAATTAGGAGCAGATAGATGGGGAAAGCACATTATGGTGCTATGAGATTATGGATACAGGTTGTGAAAAAGACTGAGGCTTTACAATTTAATTCATTTTGCAATTATTTTTTCTTTATGTAAAACACTGAATAAAGGTGGAATCCCTGCTCTCAAGGAACACACAATCTAGTTGGTGAAACATGGAAATGATCAACTGAAATGCAGGTCCAATTAAATAAATGACACAGGTATGACAGCAAAGTACTCTTTGAACACAGGAGGGAAGCATGTATTAAAAGAAGGGAAAGGGGCTAGCTGGGTGCAGTGGCTCACACCTGTAATCCCAGCACTTTGGAAGGCAGACACAGGAGGATTAGCTTGAGGACAGGAGTTTAAGACCAGCCTGGTTAACACAGAAAGACCATGTCTTTACAAAAAAGAAAAAAATTAGCCAGGTTTGGTGGGGTGAGTCTGTAGTCCCAGCTACTCAGGAGGCTAAGTGAGAAAATCACTTAAGCCCAGGAGTCTAAGGCTGCACTGAACTATGATCATGCCACGGCACTCCAGCCTGCGCAACAGAGTGAGACCCTGTCTCTAAAAGAAACTTAAAAATTAAATTTAAAAAAAAAAAAAAGATGAGAAGGGGACAGATAAGGCTCATTGGAGGAGGTAACAATAAAAATGAGCCTTGAAGAAATTAGTATCTGATACAGAAAGGGTAAGGAAAAGCATTTCAGGTTAACAGCCTAGTATGCAGAACAGTCCAGAAGAAGAAAGTGTAATAGCACCTTCATGATAACTGAATGGCTGACGAGGCTGTAAAATAATGGCACAGGAGAGGGCTGTAGTGAGAAATGGGCTGCCAAGGTAGGTCTAAACTACTGTTCTAAATTTTATGCCAAGGATATCACTAAAGGTTTCCCAATGATAAGAGCAGTACGATCTCCTTTGGGATTTAGACTTATAGAGCCAAAAGGCTACTTGACTATATCAAAATCTACATGTCCAAAACCAAACATCATAATCCTCTTCTAAATCAGATCTTCTTACACTGTTCCATATCTCAGGAAAAGCATCTGTCTATCAAGCTACACAAGCCAAAACCAAACCAAATCAAAGCCTAGGAGCCATTCTTGACATCTTCTGCCTTCTACCTATATCCGATCCAACAATAAGGCCAATCAATTTTACTTTCCAAATTTCCATCATAATACACAACACTCTCCATCTACCTCTACTGCTACCACCTTATGATGAACTCTTATCATCTCTCTCCTGGACCACTCATCCTGATTGATCTACCTGCATTCACGTAGGTTCTCATTTAAGCTGAAGAAATTATTTTTTTTAAAAGGCCTAAATCACTCAATACTTAAATTCTTTTAGTAGCTTCCTACAATTTTAGAATAAACAAGAATCTGAACAGTCTATAAAGTCCTATGTGGTTAGGCCCTGGATCTACCTCTCTAGATACAAATACAAAATATTTGCATTTTTTAGTAGAGATGGGGTTTCTCCATGTTGGTCAGGCTGGTCTCGAACTCCCAATCTCAGGTGATTCGCCCGCCTCGGCCTCCCAAAGTGCTGGGATTACAGGTGTGAGCCACCATGCCTGACCTAGATCTTCATTTTACAGTATGTTTCCTTTCCCACGTACCCCACTCTAGTCACACTGGCCTTGTTTCAGTGCCCAGTGCTTATCCTATTTTTTCTCACCATAGTGCATTTGCAATATTGCCTACTTAGCTGCCTTTCTTCAACTCTCAGCCTGCCATTTTGCTAAATGCTGGGTATGTAATGATGAACAAACAGTGTCTGCTTTCAGGAGGTTTATGGCTGAGTGGGGAAAAGTGGTAGAGAGAGAAAAACCAGTAACCAAACAATATAAATTGTGTAAAGTGCTACAAAGAAAAAGAACAGAATATTATGAGAAAAGGAATAGTGTAAGGGAGGAAAATCTATTTTAGTCTGGGAGGTCACAGAAAGCTTCTTTTAACAAGAACACATTTGAACTGAGTCCTCAAAGATAGAAAAGGAGATTGCTACTTTAATCAGGCCATAAATGAGGAAAAGCACTATTACAGTAGGTTTCACATGCCAAGAAAATAGAGAATTTGGAATTTTATCATAATTGAGATGAAAACAGAGTTAAAGAAAGTAGCAATTCAAAAAGAGAAAAATAAAAAGGATTTATCTATTCACTGCTTCTTAGAATTGACTTGGTTGAAAGGTTTTGATCATCTTACCAAAAAGGCTTACGGAAGGAACAGAAGGATGCTGAGAGGAAAAGGTCAGTAAACAGGGAGGAGGGCACCTGCCAGTAACCTAATGGAGTATATGGAGAGTTGTATTTACAAGGCTTACATAACCAATGAGTCAGCAAAAAGTCAGGTGTCAATGGATCTCTTCTGTGGCCACTCTAAGCAGCTAGGAAACTTGGCTCTCCGAGATAGGAATATACCTTCCAGTAACACCTGCCTAAGTTAGGATGAGGAAAAGTAAACTTTAATGTTTAGAAAAAAAACATAAGAAATAAGATCCAACTTAAAGCAAGGTGATTCTGGTAGGATTTTGCAAATCTAATGCAACTCATTTCTCTAATTTGTAATAAAACACTTATTAAAGAATCCAGAAGCAAGACTCCAAAATCTGCTAAAAGTAAAACATACATTTTAAAGAGAAAAACAACATCCTTATCTTTTTTGAGGTCCATAAATATTGGAGGGCTACTCTCTACAACTATTTTTTCTCTAATAACGGCTAATATGTATAAACAGTAACAGAAAAAGGCTTCATATCAATAGAATTGAGTCTGGCAAAGAAAATATACAAAAGAGAACATAAAAGAGATTCAGTCATAGTAGAGGCAAAGAGATACAGCATTCACAACCACTTGATATCAAACAGCAATGACAATGAACCCAAGACAAATACCCACCAACGCACAGCTATGAAAATAGCAGACTCCTTATCCTGCCTTCCTCCACCTCCATACTTATGTTCTCAGCCTATTACTGTTCCAGTGGCAACAACTCTATAACAGGAGGAAGGCTTTATTTTTCCTTCTCCCGCTTCAGACTATAGAAAAAGCAGGGAAAAAAAAGCATAATTATGACTATTCAAAGAAAAGAAAAGAGGTTTGTTAGTCTGCATTCTTTGCTCTGGAAATTTCTGGCTTCTGTCTGTTGAGAGACACATGAGAAAACTTGGATTATCTCTGAAGGTCACAACTGAATGACCACAAGTTATGTTTCTCCTTCTGGTTCCCTTGGTCATCCTTTTCCATCAAACATGATTTTGCAAAATGTTTTAGTTATTGCTAAGAAGCAATTCCATACAGCTGATATAGAAAAGTCAAAAAATAAGAAAAAAATCACAACACATTTATCTTACCAAAACCCCCTGTCAGGCAGTCTGCTGATTTTGCTTGCCACAAAGCTCATCCTTCATTTGTGCACTGCCAGAGAAAGCTTGGATGGTAAAAAAAAAAAAATCACAACCTCTCTTGGCTATAAGCTCTTTCCATTTGTTCCAGCTTCCAAACTGCAGAGGAGCTGTGGCATAGTCTGTCACTGCTGCACATACTTGGTTTCCGAGAATAACGCTGCAAATGAGGACAGCTACCACTGGGAATGCTTTCCCCCACCAAAGAGCCGCAGTGAAGCTTCTAGTGGATCCCTGGGCTTCTCACCTTCACAGTCTCAGAGAAGTGACTTTCACAAAACAGGCAGGTACAGCCGCACCACATTAATACCCTCGCATAGCCAATCCTCCGCAGTGCCCACCTCAGCCTATGTATAGTTTCAATTCTATCTCCTGTAGCAACTCTTAGAGCTTTCTATATCTGGGAGCCTAGGAGAACTCTGTGCTGAATAAACAGAAAGCTTCTGCCAAACAAGCATCCGTGTGTGTGCGCGCGCACGCAGTTTGCTAGAGCAGCTAATGCAAATGAATAGTTTGACTCTGAGAATGGAGATCACAGACAGTATCTGCCTCTCTTCTCCAGCTGTGAGCATCTTTTATAAAAGACAAAAGCACCACACTGGTTGGATTTAAAGCTACAGGGTATTAATTCAACATTCACATTTGTCTTCTCATTTAAATCAGATAAGGTTGAAAGAATCGCTTAAAGAAGATTAAAAACATTCTAAATAAAATAACACTGTTTAGGTAGCTTGGTTCAATAAATACAAAGAAAAAGCAATCTACCTATGTTTCAATAAAGGCCCAGAAGACTGCCAGAACAGATTTCCATGCTTTTGTAATGTTTCTTCTCTTATTTTTCATTTTAGGTTGGCAAAATCATTTAAAATGAAAATAGAACATGAGTGAGAGAACAACTAGAAAAAGAAAACTGAGCACGACACTCTAAAATCGTATTCACTATGGACAGAGAGAAAAACACTCTGAAATCTAAGCAAGAGATTAAAACATCACAATCATAAGCCCAGGCTCAGCCCCTGTATCATCACACACACTATTTACTGAACACCCAAGACACTACGTGACAGAACTGAATATCTTATTAAGACTGTTTCTGACTTGAAAAAGTCACTTTGGGATTTAGGCAAGTTATCAGATCTGAACCTTATTCCTTTATTTGTAAAAGCAGTTGTGGGGAACACACATAGGAGGAATTTAAATGATTACAAAATATAGTGTGGCATGTATAAAGTATATCTACTAATATTTCTCTGAGGTTAACATGCAGAAAGGAATCAGACATGAAGACAATTTAATACAGTAAAGCCTATGAGCCTGGGGGTGTGATATGAGCCTTTCTATGAGCCTGGAGGTGTGATAATTTCTTTACTTCTAGTTAAGTATGGGTCTGGAAGCTCAGGCCAGCACAGTACTAACAGGTCAAAGAAGGTCTATCAGTATTCACCAGCTGCGTTTAACATCTTTCACTTAAACCATACAAAGCCCTCTGAACGGAATCCAAAGCACCTTGAATGAATATAAAGAAAATGCTGGGTTGAAACCATGGCTCCAGAAATTCCTTTTCCATCTCTAGAGACACAGAACTCTGACCCTGACTTTCCACAACAAATTAATAAAGAATTTGATTTAATAGAAGTTTTGTTTTCACTTAAAAATTAGGTGGTAAGGTTTCAACTGAGTAAATACGTTTCTACAAAAACAACAAAAACCCTAATCCTGTACCACTAGCATCAACACTAGCTGCTGTTTGCTTAATTCTGTTTACTAGCATTTTCAGTATCTTCTAAGACAATCATCCTTATTGTAGAAAACCACAAATGAGCAGAAAAGAAAGCAAAAACTATCTGTAATCTCACCACTTAGAAGACCAAACAAACCGCTATTACCACTGTGATTTCCATCCCTTCAGTTTTAAAAAAATATATGTACAAGTATTTTGTTATTTCAAATCAGTTGTGATTTCAATTTGAAGGACTCTATAAGAGAATCCATATTTTTTGCCTTCCTTCTCTCAAAAATCACTTATTGTAACTGTATTCCCATAGTAATATATCTGATGTGGGCTTTTAAATATACCGAGCTACTAGATTGTGTGCAGTCTAAAATAAAATCTAGTAAGTTATTATTTTCTTCACAATTATACAGCTGAATGTTGGGGACTGCATATTCTTCCCTGGGTAGGTACAGTATTTAATCTTTTGTAAGATTAATGTTTGTTACAATTGTATAATTTTAAGTACAATTGTTGGCACTCACTGATATTTCCAGTGCTGCTTCTCTTTCTGAACACACATGGAAGACTACATTTCCCAGTTCCCTTTGCAAGGCCATGTGACTAGTTCTGACCAATGGGTTGTGAAAAAAAGGAAGTGAGTGTGTAACCTAAGTCAAAGCATTTAATTGCTAATGTGAAGCTCTTTTATCCTCTCTTACCCTACCACTGAGATCACTGAAGCATATGTTGAGACATGGTGCCATGGATCAAATCTGCTTTGATTGGATAAACCACTAAATGGAGGACAGCTGCCCTGGAGAGTTGTCTGGGCCTAAAGCAGACTTTGTGTCTGCTTTTAAATCATTATATAAAAGTAATGATTTTATCTTTTTGAAAAAAATTACCTTTTCACATTTTTAGAGGTTCCGCCAAGATGGCAATGAATTTATCTGACAGAACCAAGTAAACTGAGTTACTAGATAAATGTACCTCCTCATTGACTGTTTTAGCCTGGGTACATCTCTTCTTAGCTCCCAAAGGAAATCCTAAGTGGCAGTAGGACTTTAGTTTTGCTGATTTCCTTGTTCTCATTTGTTTCTTCTCTTGCTGACTTTTTGTTTCTGGTTTATGCATGGTCAGTAAGTTACTCCTCACTGATGGCAGCACTAATTGATAATTTGGTTTTATGGTTTGACCATTTGAGGTCTCTACAGAAGAGTGATAGATATCTATTCTCTGTTGAATGAGATATCAAAACATTATCCAGCTTGTCAGACTTTTCTGTCCATTTGTCTATGTCGAGTGTAATTCAATTAAGAATTCTGGCTCTGCGTGGTGGCTCATACTTATAATCCCAGCACTTTAGGAAGGCTGAGGTGGGCAGATCACTTGAAGCCAGGAGATTGAGACCAGCCTGGGCAATGAAAGGGAACAGCTCTTTGAGATCTGGACCAGTGAGGTTTTGTGATTCTGTGTTTACTTTTGACCCGTGGCTAAAAAGTTGTAGAACTAAAGCCATAGGTCTTTATGTGTCCTGTAATTCAGAAACACCACAACAGCCAGGCGTGGTGGCTCATGCCTGTAATCCCAACATTTTGGGAGGCTGAGGTGGGAGGATCACTTAAGGCCAGGAGTTTGAGACCAGCCTGGGCAACATAACAAGACCCTGTCTCTACAAAAATGATAAATAAAATTAGCCGGGCATGGTGGTACATGCCTGTAGTCCCAGCTACTTGGAAGGCTGAGGTAAAGGGATCATTTGAGCCTAGGAGTTTGAGCTGCAGTGAGCTATGATTTCAGCCTGGGTTTGAGTGAGACTCTATCTTTAAAAAACAAAACAGAAAGACCATGGCCTCTTGTTTGTAAGTATAAAACATTTTCCTACCTTTAGAGAGTATTAATAAATTAGATTATAATGTCTCCTAAATTAAAGGACCTCGGATCTCATTCGTTTTACAGAGCTAAATAAGCACATATATATATGTCAAACATCCCTACAAATCTAAGAAAAGAAAAAAGTGAACATCTGACACTTTAAATATGCTAGACAAAGAACAAAAGATTCTTCTTACAGATTCTATCAGTTTGGAAACATTTTAAGAATCCAAATTCACATACTTAAGGTAAATATTTGGCAAACTGAGGCTAGTATCAGAGTTAACTATAATACTATATACAGTTTATTTCACTTGGGGTTTGTTTTTTCATGTAGAAAAAATTTAATCTGAACTTTGTAAACTTACTTATACAGGTTTAGTGATAAAATTAATATTACTCTTCTTTTGTAATGTTTAGTATTTTAAAAACGAAAGTTTGTGTTAATCTAAATTGAATCACAATGCTGACAAGCTTTTTATATCAATAGCAATTATGTGTCAGCTTAAATATCTCCAGGATCTTATGGTAATTTAAAAATCACAGACTAATGTTAAATGGAGCTAATTAATAGTAATTTTTGGATGCCCAGATGAATTTCTAATTAGAAGAGTAAAACATTGTTTAAACATAGTTTTAAGCTTACATACTTTTGCTTGTTTTGTATATGCTATTAGAGTGGTTATATCTTTGAGTAATGTTAACAAATGGCTTCATTTTTGCCTTGTTAAGAAGGTGTTAAAGAGATGTGTGTGACTATAGAAAGTCTGCTATGTGTATTTGTGAGCTTTACTAGTCTGCTAAGATGCTTGTGTATGACGTAGTTCTTATTATCCATTCTCTCTACCCAGTTTTCTCTCTGAAACAGAAGTCATAATTGATACAGGTGGTTATAACTACACTAGGAACAATAGTAACAGAGAAATATAAGGTGTAAGTCTTTTTGTTTTTAAAGGAAAAGGAGCATTTTTTTGTCCCAAACTAAAGTAACAGTTTGTTAAAGAATGTAAAAGACAAATCATTTATTTATTTATTTATTTATTTAAGATGGGGTCTTGCTCTGTTGCCCAGGCTGGAGTGCAGAGGTACCATCTCGGCTGACTGCAATGTCCATCTCCCGGGCTCAAGTGATCCTCCTACCTCAGCCTCTCAAGTAACTGGGACTGCAGGTGCACACCACCATGCCCAGCTAATTTTTGTATTTTTTTGTGGAGATGGGGTTTCAGCATGTTTCCCAGGCTAGAAAGACAAATCTTAAAAAGTGAATTTGATTTGCCTTGTAAAATATACTACTGGGATGTGAAAAGAAGCCATGAAACATGTTAAAATTTTGGCAACATTTAATCAGCTTTGATGGGTTTGCGTCTTTGGTTTACTGATTAATGCCTTCATCTATAATATGAAAGATGATTCTTATTTGTGTATAATTTTCTTAGAGAGCACAATAATTCTCTGGCTTTATGTTGGATTATGTTCTAGATGATTAAATACAAAACAAACCAAACCGGAAAGAACAAAGGTTCTTTACTTGTGAAAGAGCTTAGGTTCTTTACAATTGTAGTACCTTATCTTTTATTCTCATTTTGATTAAATAATCAAGTATTGTTTCTTATCCATGATACTATCTTAATCAGGGGCCCAAATGTCCTTTGTTAACTCTTTTGATCTTGCCTTCCCCAAGATTGAATTTTTTTTTTTTTTTTTTTTTGAGACAGGGTCTCTCTGTGTCATCTAGGCTGGAGTGCAGTGCCTCAACCTTCCGGGCTCAAGTGATCCTCCCACCTCAGTCTCCCAAAGTGCTGGGATTATAGGCATGAAACACTGTGCCCATCCCATGTTATCTTATTGTTCTATTTTTTGTGGCTATATGAGGAAGCCCTTTCACTTTCTCCTTAAACTACTTCTAACCCACATTTTAGTAGATTGATTCTGCCTCTGTGATCTGAATAAAACATTAAGTAGTATCTGATTTTCATGGAATACTGAGCATTCAGAAACATACTGAGTTTTCCTTAACTTATGGCAATACTGTTATTTGCATAGGATCAATACCAATCTCATCTCCTTTTTATCAAGATATAATTGGATTTTGTAACTGTATATACTGGAATCTCATAAATGAGAACATCACATTTGAGAATAATTCTCATTGACAAACTACTTTAAGAAACAATAGTTGACTTGATATAGGGAGCCAATGCCTAAAAGAAAGTACTCCCAGGAACACTGGCCTGATTCCTGAGGTGGTAAGGAAAGTCACTTCCTGGCAAGCCTTAGAAAATACTGGGGACTTGAAGATGAGATTAATTCACCCAAATTTATAGGTACCACAGGTGAAATCTGGTGAGAGAGTTTCTCAGGTGTATTTTCCTAACCTTAGTATAGTAAATAATAAAGAGTGTTTAAAAGTCCAATCTGAATCCTTACGAAAACGTCCACACAGAAGTTAACTGTGTTGTCTTAGTAATTGCTCAAAACTGTATGGCTCTGGATTTGCAAAGATAGTTCAAGGATGCCCCTGTATGACTAACTAGCACTGTGGCTACACCTATGTGAATAATCAGGCCAAACCTAATGAGACTGTCAGAAACGTTTACACCTGAGTAACTTCAGCGTGCCTATGGGCTAGGTAAAGTCAGGTTAAGACCTGCTAGGCTGCATTCCCAGCAACTTCAGGTATTCTTAGTCACAAGATGAGATAGGAGGTCACCATGAGATACAGGTCATAAAGACCTTGCTGATAAAACAGGTTGCAGTAAAGAAGCCAGCTAAAACCCACTGAAACCAAGATGGCGATGAGAGTGACCTCTGTTCCTCCCCACTGCTACACTCCCACCATTAGCTCCAAGGCAGTGTACAAATGCCAAGGCAATGTCAGGAAGTTACCCTATATTGGTCTAAAAAGGGGAGGCATGAATAATCTACCCCTTGTTTAGCATATAATCAAGAAATAACCATAAGAATGGGCAGCCCCTGGGGCTGCTCTGCCTATGGAGGCCATTCTTTTATTCTTTTACTTTCCTAATAAACTTGTTTTTACTTTACTCTATGGACTCGCCCTGAATTATTTCTTGTGCGAGATCCAAGAACCCTCTCTTGGGGTTTGGATTGGGATGGCTTTCTGGTAACAAGACTAACTATTTTGTGATCAAGAATAACATTTGGAGATATTTGGGAGGCTGAGATGGGAGAATCACTTAAGCCCAGGAGTTGAAATTTGCTTTGAGTTGTGATTGTACCACTGCACTCCAGCCTGGGCGACAGAGCGAGACTCTGTCTCAAAAAAAAAAAAAAAAAAAAAAAAAAAAAATCATAATTAATAATAACCTTTGAAAATTATTCTTGATCACAAGAGAGATGGGAGACTGTCAGCAAAATTTATGGAAGACCAAAATGGTAAAAGATTTTGAATGTCCTTTCAAGGGAATGCTGGGTGTTGTCTATTGGACCCTTTGAAGTTATCTGATTGAATAAAGATGTGAATCTTTGTCTTTGGCTAGGTTGTTTTCCAAGTCTTTAGAGACAGAAATTGCCTCATGGACAGTGTTTGTGATGCAATGTGTATTAGTCTGTTCTCATGCTGCTAATAAAGACATACCGAAGACTGGGTAATTTATAAAGGAAAGAGGTTTAACTGACTCACAGTTCCACAGGGCTGGGGAAGCCTTGGGAAACTTACAATCATGGCGGAAGGGGAAGCAAACACATCATTTCTCACATGGTGGCAACAAGAAGTGCCAAGCAAAAGGGGGAAAGCCCCTTTTAAAACTATCAGATCTCATGAGAACTCACTAGCATGAGAACAGCATGAGGGTAACTGGCCCCGTGATTAAATTACCTCCCACCAGGTCCCTCCAACAACACATGGGGATTATGGGAACTACAATTCGAGATTTGGGTAGGGACACAGCCAAATCATATCATTCTGCCCCTGACCCCTCCCAAATCTCATGTCCTCACATTTCAAAACCAATCATGCCTTTGAGGACTAAGCTCTGATTTTTGTAAATCTTGCCCAAATTCCTATCTAAGGAGTTTCAGGAGTCATGCCCTACAAACCATAAATTCTCATCAGCTGGGTTTTATTTAACCCTATGTATCATGACTTACTTTCCAATCTGACTCTGGCATAACGTTATGTGACAAAGAAGAAAATCAAAATATTTTACCCCAAAACATATTTCTCTGCCATATTTTGAAATGGCCTTGCAAGGCCATGCTTTGTAGGGGTAAAATCTGCATCTGTAAAGAATCTCTATTAAACAGCTAGATCTTTTTCTTCCAGGCCCTCCCAATCCTGAAGAGATTAACTGAGAGTCTAGCACCTTTTAGAGGTCTGAATAGGAAACATTTGTCACCTATTGTCTCTAAGGGCAGCTACTATGAGACTTCAAAAGAACCTTGGTCTCCACCATCTTTTATCTTAACCTGAACATTTCCTTTCTATTAATCCCAGGTCTTTAGACAAACTCAACCAATTGTAAACCAGAAAATGTTTAAATCTGCCTATAGCCTGGAAGCCCCTGCTTCGAACTCTCCCGTCTTTGTGGACCAAACCAATGTATTTCTCAAATGTATTTGATTGATGTCTCATGCTTCCCTAAAATGTACAAAACCAAGCTACAACCCAACTATCTTGGGCACATGTTCTCAAAACCTCCTGAGGGCTGTGTCATGGGCCATGGTCACTCATATTTGGCTCAGAATAAATCTATTCAAATATTTTACAAAGTATGACTCTTTTTGTTGACACCTTCCCAACAGTCCCCGAAAGTCTTAGCTCATTTCAGCATTAACTCAAAAGTCCATAGTCCAAAGTCTCATGTGAGACAAGGCAAAGTCTTTTCCGCCTATGAGCCTGTAAAATAAAAAGCAAGTTAGTTACTTCCTAGATACAATGGGGGTACAGGCATTGGGTAAATACACCCATTCCACATGGGAGAAACTGGCTAAAATGAAGGGGCTACAGGCCCCATACAAGTCCAAAAATCCAGCAGGGCAGTCAAATCTTAAAGCTCCAAAATGATCTCCTTTGACTCTATGTCTCACATCCAGGTCACACTGATGCAAAAGGTGAGCTCCCATGGCCTTGGGCAGCTCTACCCCTGTGGCTTTGCAGGGTACAGCCCTGCTCCTGGGTGCTTTCATGGGGTGGCGTTAGGTGTCTGCAGCTTTTCCAGGTGCACAGTGGAAGCTGTCAGTGGATCTACCATCCTGGGGTCTGGAGAATGGTGGCCCTCTTCTAGCAGCTCCACTATGCAGTGCCCCAGTGGGGACTCTGTGTGGGGGCTCCAACCCCACATTTTCCTTCCGCACTGCCCTAGCAGAGGTTCTCCATGAGGGCTCTGCCCCTGCAGCAAACTTTTGCCTGGACATCCAGGCGTTTCCATACATCCTTTGAAATCTAGGTGGAGGTTCCCAAACCTCAATTCTTGACTTTTGTGTACCTACAGGCTCAACACCACATGGAAGCTACCAAGGTATAGGGCCTTCACCCTCCAAAGCCATGGCCTGAACTGTATCTTGGCCCTTTTTAGTTAAGGGTGGAGCAGCTGGGATGCAGACCACCAAACCTGTGGGCTGTACACAGCAGGGGGGTCCTCGGCCTGGCCCACGAAGCCATTTTCTCCTCCTAGACCTCTAGGCCTGTGATGGGAGGGGCTGTTGCAAAGGTCTGTGACATGCCCTGGAGACATTTTCCCCATTGTCTTGGTGATTAACATTCAGTTCCTTGTTACTTATGCAAATTTCTGCAGCAGGCTTCAATTTCTCAGCAGAAAACAGGTTTTTCTTTTCTTCTGCATCACCAGGCTGCAAATTTTCCAAACTTTTATGCTCTGCTTCCTCTCAAACACTTTGCCACTTAGAAATTTCTTCTGCCAGATACTGTAAATAATCTCTCTCAAGTTCAAAGTTCCACAGATCCTTAGGGCAGGGGCAAAGTGCCGCCAGTCTCTTTGCTAACACATAACAAGAGTCACCTTTGCTCTCGTTGTCAACAAGTTCCTCATCTTCATCTGAGACCATCGCAGCCCGGACTTTATTGTCCATATCACTATCAGCATTTTGGTCAAAGCCATTCAACAAGACTCTAGGAAGTTCCAAACTTTCCTGCATCTTCCTGTCTCCTGAGCCCTCCAAGTCTCTAGGAAGTTCCAAACTTTTCCACATTTTCCTATCTTCTTCTGAGCCCTCCAAACTGTTCCAACCTCTGTTACCCAGTTTCAAAACTGCTTCCACATTTTTGGGTATCTTAATAGCAGTACCCCACTCTACTGGTACCAATTTACTATATTAGTCAATTTTCATACTGCTATGAAGAAATACCCAAGACTGGGTCATTTATAAAGAAAAAGAGGTTTAATGGACTCATAGTTCCACATGGCTGGGGAGGCCTCACAATCATGGTGGAAGGCGAAGGAGGAGCAAAGGCACGTCTTACTTGGCGGCAGGCAAGACAGCATGTACAGGGGAACTGCTCTTTATAAAACCATCAGATCTCATGAGAACTCACTATCATGGGAACAGCATGAGGGTAACTCCCTCATGATTAAATTACTTCCCACTGGGTCCCACGACACATGGGGATTATGGGAACTACAATTCAAGATGAGATTTGGGTGGGGACATAGCCAAACCATATCACAATGTAAATGAATTCTGTCTGGGAGAGAATATAAATCTCTTTGAGTCCAATTCTCATTTGGACTGATTTTAACATTTTATTGGTTCTTTCATTAATTAGTGAGCTAAAATTCTCTGTGTGCTCAATTTGTACATGAGTTATAATTTTACCTTAAGAAAATAACCTTTCACATTTGGGTCTGTACTTTTTCTTTTTTAAAGCAACTAATTAAAAAGTAATTGTTTAGTTAGAGTTAGCAAGCTAAAGCCCTCTGCCTATTTTCTTAAGGCCTGTACAAAAGAGCTACAAAATATTTTTACGTTTTTAAGGAGTTGTAAACAACAATAAAGAATACATTACAGAGAACATACAAGGGCCTCAAAGCTTAAGATATCTAGTATCTGGCCCTTTATAAAACAAGTTATCTGCAAATCCCTGCTTTATTTTAATATAAGCAATCAACTTGACAATATAGAAGAAGGTGAGAATTAAATCAACATTTCAGTAGCAAAGTCAAGTTAGGACCCAGACTGAGAAAATCTGTTCTTTAACTAAAAAACTATCCAGATATGTAGCAGGGATATTTTATTTGATTACATGGAAGATTTCCTTTGAAAAAAAGGAAAGAAACTTTTAGGCCAGGCACAACGGCTCATGTCTGTAACTGCAGCATTTTGGGAGGCCAAGGCAGAGTATCAGAGGCTTTTGAATAGGGGCTGGGTAAAATAACACTGAGACTTACTGGGCTGCACTTCCAGAAAGTTAGGCATTTTAAGTCACAGGATGAGATAGGAGGTCAGAACAAGATACAGGTCATCAAGACCTTGCTGATAAAATAGGCTGCAGTAAAGACGCCAGCGAAAAGTTCATTATATGCTAATTACAATGCATTAGCATGCTAACAGACACTTCCACAAGTGCCATGACAGTTTACAAATGCCATGGCAACGTCCAGAAGTTACCCTATATGGTCTAAAAGTGGGAGGAACCTTGAGTTCAGGGAATTGCCCACCCCTTTCTCAGAAAACTCATTAGTATTCCACCCCTTGTTTCACATATAATCAAGAAGTAACAATACATATCCTTAGTTGAATAGCTCAAGCCACTGCTGTCTATGGAGCGGCTATTCTTTTATTCCTTTACTTTCTTAATAAACTTGCTTTCACTTTATGGATTCGCCTTGAACTCTTTCCTGACAAGATGCAAGAACCCTCTCTTGGGGTCTGGATTGGGACCCCTTTCCTGGGTAACCAGAGGACTGCTTGAAGCCAGGACTTCCAGACCAGGCTGGGCAACATAAAGAGAATCCATCTCTATCAAAACTAACAACAGCAAAAATTAGCAGGGTATGGTGTGGGGCATGCCTTGTAGTCTCAGCTACTTGGGGAGGCTTAAGGTAGAAAAACAGCTTGGGCCCAGGAGGTTGAGACTGCAACTGCACTCCAGCCTGGGAGACAGAGTGAAATCCTGTCCCTAAAACAAATAAATGAAACAAAACAAAAAAACCTTAGGTATTACTTTATAAAGGAGCTGTCCATTACTATTTTTTTCACTGAGTATTTTCACACTTCTCATCATTGATGGAAGTTTACTTAATATACCCTTAAGACAAAAACAAAACTGAACACAAATTTCATTGGAATCTAATTTATGGTCGGGTACTGTGGCTCATGCCTGTAATCCTAGCACTTTGGGAGGCTGAGGCAGGATGATCACTTGAGCTCAGGAGTTCCAGACTAGCTTAGGAACATAGTGAGACCTTGTCTCTAATCTTTATTTTTTAAAAAGAAAATTAAAAAAAAAATCTAATGTATTAAATAAATCGGCATATTGCTAAATAAATCTGGGTAATAAAAAAGACAAAAAAACCTATTAAGTTCAAAATCATCTCTGTCAAAATATTTTTTCCTCAGTAATACAAACCTAATACTAGTCATCTTTACTGTGTTAGACACTGTTGAATATTGGGAGATGCTGAAAATTTCACAGGGAAATAGATTTTACCCTTCCAAAATTTCTGGGAAAAAGATGTCTTTTAAAAATCTTTTTTTTTTGAGACGGAGTCTCGCTCTGTTGCCAGGCTGGAGTGCAATGGTGCAATCTCGGCTCACTGCAACCTCTACCTCCTGGGTTCAAGTGCTTCTCTTGCCTCATCCTCCGGAGTAGCTGGGATTGCAGGTGCACGCCACCATGCCTGGCTAATTTTTGTACTTTTAGTAGAGATGGGGTTTCATCAGGTTGGTCAGGCTGGTCTCGAACTCCTGACCTCGTGATCTGCCTGCCTCAGCCTCTCAAAGTGCTGGGATTACAGGCGTGAGCCACTGCGCCCAGCCAAAAAAAAAAAAAAATCTCTTTATTATACCACATTTTAAACACTGGAAAAGCAGCTTTGATTAACTCATGGCCCATACAATGGTATACCCTCCCCCATTATTCGGAAGCAAATCCTTGACAAAAGATGTTCTTAATAAAAGCCAATACTAGTTCCAGAGGCTTTCATATCATTAAAATCTACCTCTACTGTCAGATGTCATCAATATGACTTTACTTTCTGGATAAAATTCTTAATGCTCTAATGCTCTCCTTACTTCTCTTTCCACTCTATTTTATTCATGAAGGATCCAGTGGGGAAAACTGTCCAAAGGCCAGGGAATTTTATCTGTTCCCACAGACTGGCTTTCTTGATGCTGATATCTGATGACTGAGTGAATAAGTTTTTCCGAAAGTGGCAAAAGATGGGAAAATAAAAGTTGAGTCAAGGAAAAAAGATAAATCTAATAATCAATTAACATCCGCAGTCACTGAAAACAGAGAACAGATCTACAAAGAAGGCATTAAGAATAAAATGTGGCAAATCAGTTGGCTGTGCATTACTCAAGAAGTCTCTTCTGTTCTCTCTCACCTGGCAATCACACTTCAGCTAGAAAGTCCCTAATTGCATTAACCTCCTGCTGGGATTCAGTAAGAGGTAGATTTTGTTTGACTTCAGCAGCTCTCTTTATGTAAAAGCGAACCCCCATAACCAGCCAGTGGGTGGAGGAACGGAAAAATGAGAAAGCAAGGAAATGGAAAGAAGTTTAAAATCTTTTGAAATTACTGTGGTCATATGAATATATAAATAAGGCAAGTACTTTATTTCATTGCTTAGAACCAATTAGTTCAGAAAGGAGGGCAAGAGAGGCTTTTGTTTAGTGCCAGAATTATGAAATTTCAGGAAAGAATACAGGCACTGACCTTCAGACACTAAATTATGTCTTGCTTTCCAAGAAATACAGTAAGTAACAAAGACTGCTTATTTAGGTACTGCCTACCTCAATGGAATCATGTACCACCCAGGGGACTCAAAGGTGCTGCAGAGAGCTGTTTTGAAATTGCAAAACATCATATAAAGCCATGATGGTAGTACCACCTCCAGACTCAAAGATGGGCCAGGTAATTTCCAAGTACTACTTACAAAGCAACTGGACAGGCACACCAAAACTTATTTCATAAAATAAAATGATTCACCTGATTCTTGTTTTTTAAAAAATAGAAAAAAATTTTTTAAAAATAAAATGGTATAATAAAATAATATTTTCAATGTCCTGAGAAATAGTATAGAATAGTGGTCTCCAAACCTGAGGTCCATAAAGAATCAATTGTTTTCAGGATTTGCAAAGGCCCAACAGAAAATGTATGTTTACCTTTAATAAAGTTGGATAGGCAGATTTAAATAATATGTAACTTTGTCCGGAATTATAACTTCTCCAGGTGGTATCATTCTACCAGTGCCGTTTAGAAATGCCAACTGACTACTGGTCCCCAATTGTTTTTTTTTTTTTTTAAGAGAAAATAATACATGTTGCTGTAACATTTTCATAATAATAGGTTTATGAGAAAGAAAAAAAGAATCTCTGGTGGGGACCAGTTGATTTAAGTTTTATTTTCCAAGTGAGGCCATACCTTCAATCTTAAAAAATATATATTGAGAAATTTCAAAAGTGTAAAGTAAATCATTAAAATTTCCCCAAGCATCACAATTCAGTTCTGTATTGCTGGAAAACTACCACTTGAAAGTAATATATAGGTAAACCATGTTGCTTTTAAAAATGCTGTTTACCATAGTGAAGAGCTATTTCAGGCTGAATGCCATGAATGTCAGAGGTACATAAACCATTTCTTGAAATCCTTAGTTGATAGCTCTTTTATCATTTCCAAATCCCAGGTGAACAACATACCAAGTATGTTGTCTCAGTTATGAAAAATAAACATTTTCTATATTATCAGAAAATATGAAGATTGTTAAAAAAGAAAAATGGCATTTGATGGGCTATTTCAAGTCCATGTAAAAACAAGGATTTGAGGCGGGTAGATCACTGGATATCAGGAGTTCGACACCCGCCTGGCTAACATGGTGAAACCCCGTCTCCACTAAAAATACAAAAATTAGCTGGGCGTGATAGCGTGCGCCTGTAATCTCAGCTACTTGGAAGGCTGAGGCAGGAGAATCGCTTGAACCCGGGAGGTTGAGGTTGCAGTGGGCCGAGATTGCATCGCTGCACTCCAGCCTGAGCAACAGAGCGAGACTTTGTCTCAAAAAAACAAAATAAAAGAAAAACCACAAGGATTTATCTCAATTTGTTCTTTTCACAGTATTACTAGCCATAGATGGCTTGGGAGCGGGGATAAACCCACATACAAAAACCCACATACAAAGGCTTCATTCTTTGTTACTTAATTTTCCACTAAATTGCATAGAGCTTGTGGTTCCAAAAATTGTTTAAGAATAGCCATCTGACTCGAAGAGATGTAACCAAGAAAGAATAGGAAGGTGAAAACAGATATGATAGATATTAACTGGCTACTTACGGAAATCCAACTCTTTCCAAGCTTCTTAAAATGTGTTAACAAAAAGCATCCAAATGGCCAATTTCTCATTGCTATACCTTTTCTCTTAAAATACAACTACAACTACAGTATTCTGCTGTTTGACATCATTAAGCTCAGACAACAGGCCTTATAAGTAAGTACAGTAAGATGGGGTTGGGAGAGTGCTAGTCTGCACAGGAGACAGACTTGAGTCATTGCTCTGCCAGTCATCAGCTGTGGGACTTGTATGATTTATGGGGCTTAAAATGAATCAAGATTTAGTACCTAATAAATAGGAATTGAGTTTGCAAGGTTGAGGCTGGAGATGAAAAACTAGAGAAAGCGTAACTACGATAGCTGAAGAGACAAGAAGAATTGCCAAAGGATAGTGAAATAATAATAATATTCGGCTATTAACACCAGTATAGAGCATATACTTAAAAATACTGTTGAATGAGTGAATGAATAAATGAGGAGGAGAATTTGGGGAATTAGCTGAAGTTTAGGGTAAAGAAAATGATAAAGACATTTTACTCTGCTGTAGATTAGATGATCTCATAGTTGCTATTAACTTGCCTTTCATTTCTTCCTGAGACATTATGTTTTAAGGCATTTTGCCTTCTTTGGTAGTTTTAACCTGAGAGGTCAAAGGCTTAAAGAAGAGACGTGAGACCAGAGGGGAGATTACTAAAACATGATAGGGAGAAGTAGAGTAGTGGCAGAAGAAATGTAAAAGAAAAGGCTTAGCAGTACTTCTGAAGGAGAAACCAGTAAGATTTGTTGATTGTACACTGGAGATGGAGAAGAATGAATGAAAGATAAGGCCTATGTTTCCATCCTAAGAGAATGATGATGCAATTCAAACAGGGAAGATGAAAAACAGCTTTGTTTTGGGAAAGAAAATTATGATTTCGAATTTAGATATTTTGAACTGCAGTAAGGGGAAAACAGTCACTTAGGAATGATTGGAAAGAAGCTGGAATTTTGATCCAAAGAAAAGGATCTTCCAGAGACAGTTCTATAACCTGGTATCAACACTTAACATAAGATGACAAATATGAAGCCATATACAGTATTCATATGCTCTTTGGCCCAGTGCTTGTGTCTACATCAGATGGGAAGAGCATTTTTTATTTGTTTATTTTTTGAGACAGAGTCTCACTCTATTGCCCAGGCTGGAGTGCAGTGGTGTAATCTCAGCTCACTGCAACCTCCGCCTCCCAGGTTCAAGTGATTCTCCTGCCTCAGCCTCCTGAGTAGCTGGGATTACAGGCACATGCCACGACGCCCGGCTAATTTTTGTATTTTTAGTAGAGATGGGGTTTCACCATGTTGGCCAGGCTGGTCTTGAACTCCTGACCTCAGGTGATCCTCCCACCTCGGCCTCCCAAAGTGCTGGATTACAGGTGTGAGCCACTACACTCGGCCCGGGCAGAACATTTTTAAGGGAACAATTCTGCTGAGGCCAAAACAGCTTTTAAGGACTCCAACCTCATATCAGGCTTATATTAATCACAACAGCTGAATAAGAATCTGTACTGACCTGAAAATTAGCACAAGCAGATGTTCACTGTCACAAGTTGGAGCCAGAAGACAACTTATTCCCAGACCTTGATTGAGCTGATTCAATGTATACACAATAGGCATATACCAGGGACAGTAATTATTCTAATCACAAAGGGGAAAAGGAAGAAGACATAATACCTTCTACTGGGGTCAACAGACAATTCTAATAGAGAAAGTACAGAAAATTAATGTCCCTTTAGATCCTAATTTAGATGTCAATGTCTACTTAAAAAAATTCCAAGCTATAAAAGAATGGGATCAAACGAGTGCTGTGCAAATGGCATCAGGGTACTAGAGGCATTATTCCTACCCTTGATATCTATACAGCTGGGGTTCTCACTCTCTAGTGAGGAACGAAAAGGAGGAGAGGAAAGAGCAGAGAGAGGTGGAATATGCCTGGAGACTCTGGTCTTAACCAGTTACTCTTGACATTTTGGCCACTATGGCATCCATGGGTTCCAGCATCCTCCTCTCAAGTCTTTGTGACAAATAATGTTCTCTTATATTTCCAAAACCAGTAGGGGTCTGGGGGTGAGGCAGGGGAGTAGTGTGGGGAGGAAGAGGAGTTGATA
The DNA here is from genome assembly GCF_000001405.40 of Homo sapiens. NCBI lineage: Eukaryota > Metazoa > Chordata > Mammalia > Primates > Hominidae > Homo > Homo sapiens. Next base: position 129,705,428 of record NC_000003.12, read on the forward strand.
ATTTCCTGGAGATCTGAAGTGCTGCTGACTGCATTTTATGATTCAAGAGTTTTCACAAAACATGACTCATTCTTTGAATACCTGTAAGCCTTCAAATCTTGATTTTATTTATCAGAATTTGACAACAGATGTCATGCTCATTGGCCTGACTTCTTTATACTTAACCTATTTGAAACACTTTTTTTTTTTTTTTTTTGAGATGGAGTCTTGCTCCGTCACCCAGGCTGTGCAGTGGCGCCATCTCGGCTCACTGCAAGCTCCGCCTCCTGGGTTCACGCCATTCTCCTCTTGAGTAGCTGGGACTACAGGCGCCCGCCACCACGCCCACCTAATTTTTTGTATTTTTAGTAGAGACGGGGTTTCACCATTTTAGCCAGGATGGTCTCGATCTCCTGACCTCATGATCTGCCTGCCTCAGCCTCCCAAAGTGCTGGGATTACAGGTGTGAGCCACCGCGCCCGGCCTTTTTTTCTTTTTTTTTGAGACAAAGTCTCACTCTGTCACCCAGGCTGGAGTGCAGTGGCACCATCTCAGCTCACTGCCACCTTTGCCTCCCAGGTTCAAGCGATTCTCCTGCCTCAGCCTCCCAAGTAGCTGGGATTACAAGCGTGCGCCACCATGCCTGGCTAATTTTTGCATTTTTAGTAGAGACGGGGTTTCACCATGTTGGCCAGGCTGGTCTTGAACTCTTGACCTCAAGTGATCCACCCACCTCGGCCTCCCAAAGTATTGGGATACAGGCGTGAGCCACCGCGCCTGGCCAAAACACTTTTTTATTTTTTATTTTTATTTTTTGAGATGGAGTCTTGCTCTGTCACCCAAATTGGAGTGCAGTGCGCGATCTCGGCTTACTGCAACCTCCGCCTCCTGGGTTCTCAAGTGATTCGCCTGCCTCAGCCTCCTGAGTAGCTGGGACTACAAACGTGCACCACCATGCCCTGCTAATTTTTGTATTTTTAGTAGAGACAGGGTTTCACCATGTTGGCCAGGCTGGTCTGGAACTCTTGACCTCAGGTGATGCTCCCACCTCAGCCTCCCAAAGTGCTGGGATTACAGGTGTGAGCCACTGCACTTGGCTTGAAACATTTTATTAAAAAATAAAAAATATAACAATAAAGTGACTCACTCCAAAAAGGAAGAGAAGAAACCCTGTACTGAGCTTTCTGTACTCCATCTGAGTACAGACTTCCTACTAGCATTCAAGTGGATACATTAACACAGGAAACTCCTAAACTTTTAGAAGTGAAATTAGGACCAAGAGCCACAGTTCAACCACCTATTTAATGGTCAACAATGATTGAAATTGTTCATAAAATAAGGCTTCCTAAAGTCTATACAAGACAAAGTCATTTCCTTGTTTTTATTTCATTTATTTCATTATTTTTTTAGAGACGAGGTCTTGCACTGTTGCACAGGCTGGAGTGCAATGGCTATTCACAGGTGTGATCATAGCTCACTGCAGCCTCAAACTCCTGGGCTCAAGCAATCCTCCTGCCTCAGCCTCTTGAGTGGCTGGGATTACTGGCACAAGACACCACACCTAGCAAGACAAAGTCATTTTTAACTGGAGGGGAAAAAAAAAAGGCAGTGTTTGAGGGGGATAGATATGAATGACTGGGCAGCGTAGAAATAGGGCAAAACCAGATTTAGAAGTTGGTGATGAGAAAATACCCCTCATATACTGTTGCCATCTGTTTACATCTCAGCTCCCCTACTAGACAGTGAACTCCTTCAGGGAGCTCATGGCCCTATATTCACTTCTAGTTCTCCAGTAATAGGTGGACAGTATGGGCTCAATAAATATCTGTTGGATGAGTAAGAAATAAAAGCATAAATCATATCACCTCAAATACATGCTTATATTAAAAAGTGGAGATATATTTAAAAAATTCAAAATCCCAAATGAGAATTGAAAGGGACCTTAAAAGATGGTCTACCCATGGTTAAATTTATTAGAAATGTCAAAGGGGAAAAATCATTCAAAATTAAAATTAGGAGACAAATTTATCACATACGACTAAGAAGCAATAAATGTGGAAGACCTCTGTTTTCAAGCCATTATTTAGAAAATCAACATGGAATAGTCTTTAGTTTGCTACTGACTTTGGCAGTCACTTGGGAAATAAACATTGTCCATCTTTCCATTAATATATTCCAACAAAATTACTTTTACTTTCTTATAATTTGATTAAAATTTTATTGCAAACATTTTAAAGTTAAAATTGGTCAGACGTGGTGGCTCACGCCTGTAATCCCAGCACTTTGGGAGGCCGAGGCGGGCGGATCGTGAGGTCAGGAGATCGAGACCATCCTGGCTAACACGGTGAAACCCCGTCTCTACTAAAAATACAAAAATTAGCTGGGCGTGGTGGCATGTGCCTGTAATCCCAGCTACTCGGGAGGCTGAGGCAGGAGAACTGCTTGAACCCAGGAGACGGAGGTTGCAGCGAGCCGAGATCACACCACTGCACTCCAGCCTGGCGACAGAGCAAGACTCAGTCTCAAAAAAAAAAAAGTTAAAATTGAGACGACTGCTAAAGCTTTACAGGATATTATAGAATTTGTAAAGCACTAAGGTAGAGGATGAGAAAAAAAAAGTCCTAATTAAAATTACTAGTAATTTAGTGCTTTGTCTTGCACGTTGAGAGGAAAATTTTAGTAAGACAAAACTATTCATGATTAATTGATAACAAATGTTCTTTAGTATCTTTTTATAAACAAAACAAACATTGGGATATTATCAGGAATTTCATTCATTCTTTCCAACTATTAGGAGCTTTGTTTCCTCTTGGGGTGTTTTATGTTGTAATTATATTAACATTTCTGATATAATATTCTAATATAGGGTAATATTAATGCTTCCTTCCTTGAATTTTAATTTCAAAGAATGCCTAAGACATCCTAATTCTTAAAATGTACTGCAATGTAACAAGAGCTTTGTCTGATTTAGATTAAAATCTAAGATTTTTTTGTATCTAACTCAGATTTGCTAGTGAACCTAGTTGCATGTAGTTTGCATCCTGTTTGCTTTTTCTTTAACTGAAAACTGTTAAAAATAATTGCCCTTTCCATAAATCACATAAATGTGGTACAGCTGAATCACATAATGTGATGACCTCTGCTTTTCATTTATCTAGATTCCAACTCTGTTGCTCAAAATTTTAATTATTCTTTTCAGCTGTTTGACATCTTCAACTGACTAAGCATGTCAATATTTTTAGCCCAGGAATTAATGAAGAGGTTGAACTGGACAGGGAGTATCCTGAAGCAAGCCATTAGAGACCTTGTTCCAGGCTGACATTTATCTAAATTAGTAATCTTCACTCATTCATTCACTTATTCAGTTACAAATAATCACTTATTACTTTCCCCCAAAGATATCACAAAAGTCTCTGTTAAATGACTGCTGAAATCCGGCATACCCTATGTCTTCAGAGCATCTCTAACCTACTACTACAGTAATCCTATCAAAAAAGGAAATGGGTTTAATCTCGGATAATTTAAATTTAGAAAATCTGTTTAATATCCTAGTAATTAGGGCTTCTTTTATAATAAAGTACTTATTTATGTACTCTTAACCACTGGTCTTTACTGGTAATAACTAAATGCTAAGGAGGCTGAAATTTGTCTATTTTTCAAATAATTAAGAGTACTCAGAAAATACCTTTGCATATCTAATTTTAAGATTAAATAACTAAACTTGAGCATTACAGTTTTACCATAAGACTCGTGATGTTTTAATAAACTTTAGATTGTCCGGTGTAGTGGCTCATGCCTGCAATCCTAGCACTTTGGAAGGCTGAGGTGGGCAGAATGCTTGAGCCCAGGAGTTTGAGACTAGCCTGGGCAACATGGTGAGACCCCATCTCTACAAAAACTTAAAGAAAAAAAATAGCTGGGCATGGCATGGTGGGCTTGTATGCCTACAGTCCCACCTACTTGGGAGGCTGAGGTGGGAGGATCACCTGAGCCCAGGAGGCCCAGGCTGTGGTGAGCTGAGATTGTGCCACTGTACTCCAGCCTGAGCGACAGAGCGAGACTTGCCTCAAAAAAAAAAAAAAAAAAAAAAAAGAGAGAGAGAGAGAAACTTTAAATCATCAAGGCTAACACCATTTACTTTTCTCTGGTTAGTCCATGATCCTGAGGTCCAAGTTTTTTGTTGCTACACAATAAAAATTTATTTTACACCATAAATCTATACTAGGTAGGTAAAATAAAAATAACTAGAAATGAAGAACATTCTGTTTAGATACCATCTGAAGTGTCAACGAATACATACTGACTTCTGCTTGTATTTTTGGGCTTCAGGCTCTTTATCCTCAGAAGACTGACACTCTCAAGTGGGAGGACAAAGCAGCATAAGAACAATAATGCACACTGATAATGGCAGAGAGTCAGAATTGAGGACGATGTCTATCTAGCAATAGGCTTTCATGGTGACCAAAATTCCCAGTGGATATTAAAAAACTGTGTCAGTAGCCAGGCGCGGTGGCTCACACCTGTAATCCCAGCACTTTGGGGGGCTGAGGCAGGCAGATCACAAGGTCAGGAAATGGAGACCATCCTGGCTAACATGGTGAAACTCCGTCTCTACTAAAAATACAAAAAATTAGCTGGGCATGGTGGCATGTGCCTGTAGTCCCAGCTACTCGGGAGGCTGAGGCAGGAGAATCTCTTGAACCCGGGAGGTGGAGGTTGTGGTGGGCTGAGATCGCGCCACTGCTTTCCAGCCTGGGCGACAGAGCGAGATTCCATCTCAAAACAAACAAACAAACAAACAAACAAACAAAAACTGTGTAAGTACTAAAAAGATCTGCTTCCAGGTTAAAGGTCTCTGCTTTTGAACTATCTTGTGAGGTTTGTAAGGCAGCAATTATTCCATTTTATTTTTCCAAATTTTTAAGTTTTTTGAGATGGGGGAATAGGGACGGTCTCATTATGTTGGCCAGGCTAGTCTTGAACTCCTGGGCTCAAGTGATTCTGCCTCGGACTCCCAAGTACCTGGGACTACAGGTGCAAGCAAGTGTGCCCAGCTATCATTCCATTTTAAATACGAGGAAAGTGAGGCTCATGAGAAGTTGGAATTCTTTAAAGACTGAGGACTAGTGAGAAGTTAAGCTAAATCTGGAGCTCAGATATTCTAAATCCAAGTTCACGGTTTTTATGACTATACTATGTCTTCTCCCATGGCCAATCCTAAGTGGTCAGTCAACAGTAACAACTCTCAGCCTATTTATGCTAAACGCAAAAAACAACTCTACTTAAAAGTAACAGGCTTTACAGAGGCAGCAATTATATACAGGTCAGCAACTACAGAAAGAAGATATTGAATCTAATGGGAAACTCTCTCTGTAAAAGACACTAAGTCCAGGATATTTGTGGCCCAAGTCTTTCTCCCACCAAAATTTCAAGAAATCTATATTCTCAGCCATGTTCCATTTTATTTTATTTTCTTGAGATGGAGTCTCGCTCTGTTGCCCAGGCTGGAGTGCAGTGGCACAATCTCAGCTCACTGCAACCTCCGCCTCCCAGTTCAAGCGATTCTCCTGCCTCAGCCTCCAGAGTAGCTGGGATTACAGGCGCCTGCCACCATGCCCGGCTAATTTTTGTATTTTTAGTAGAGACAACGTTTTACCATGTTGGCCAGGCTGGTCTTGAACTCCTCACCTCAGGTGATCCGCCCGCCTCAGCCTCCCAAAGTACTAGGATTACAGGTGTGAGCCACTGCACCAAGCCATGTTCAATTTTATATCCATGCTTAGTTTCATGAATGCAGACTGATGCACTCCAGAATCACTTGCCGCTTAATAAGCATTCAGTCTATGTCCAAAGTTTATTTAATTCTCATGTCTGTAAGAAAATAATCAGTTTTGACAGATACAGTCTATGTGAACATCATCATTTAAAAGTATACATATACATCATATGGTAACACCAATTTCACTATAAATTTTTATTAATTTCATATTACAACTTACTAATTAGTACAACCAGAGATTAATATCATGTAATAAGATATGCTACTCCCACTTAAGGAAGATTTTGTTTCTGTAAAATAATATGCAAATTAATAACTTACATATGAAATAATACTTATTACATTGGACTTGAAAATAGTCATTTAAAGAAATCCTAGGCCACGTGCAGTGGCTCACGCCTGTAATCCCAACACTTTGGAAGGCCGAGGTGGGTGGATTACTTCAGGTCAGGAGTTTGAGACCAGCCTGGCCAACATGATGAAACCCTAACTCTACTAATAAGATAATAATAATAAAAAATTAGGCCAGGTGCGGTGGCTCACACCTGTAATCCCAGCACTTTGGGAGGGTGAGGCGGGCGGATCACGAGGTCAGGAGTTCGAGACCAGCCTGACCAACATGGTGAAACCCCGTCTCTACTAAAAAAAAAAAAAAAAAATACAAAAATCAGCTGGGCATGGTGGCACACATCTATAATCCCAGCTACTAAGGAGGCTGAGGCAGGAGAATCGCTTGAATCCAGGAGGCAGAGGTTGTAGTGAGCCGAGATGGTGCCACTGCATTCCAGCCTGGGCGACAGAGTGAGACTCTGTCTCAAAAAAAAAAAAAAAAAAAAAAAAAATTAGCCAGGGATGGTGGCAGACACCTGTAATCCCAGCTACTCAGGAGGCTGAGGCAGGAGAATCACTTGAACCCGGGAGGTGAAGGATGCAGTGAGTCAAGATCACACCACTGCACTCCAGGCTGTGCAACAGAGCGAGACTCTTTCTCAAAATAAACAAATAAATAAAGAAATCCTAGATCGAATGCATTTGAAAACAAATAATCACTCTACCCAAAGTTATAAGGCTTTTGTTTAAATTTAGATTTTGCAATACATGAGCTGTTCCAGTTTATGCAAAATCCCTCATTTACTGTCTGTAGTTTGTAATTTATGAATTATAATCAGATAAGAAATTGCTTTTAAAATCAAATATAACTGACTACAAATGAGTAATGCATGAGGAGTTAAAGACGCAAGTCTCTTTCTGAAAGAAAACATTATTTTATTATTATTTTTGAGACAGGGTCTTGGTTTGTTGCCCAGGCTGAAGTGCAGTGGCACAATCACCACTCATTGCAGCTTCGACCCTCTGGGCTCAAGCAATCCTCCCACCTCAGCCTCCCGAGGAGCTGGAACTACAGGCACATACTACCATGCCCAGCTAATTAAAAAAATTTTTTTTTTGTAGAGACAGAGACTCACTCTGTGGCCCAGGCTGGTCTTGAACCCCTGGGCTCAAGTGATCCTCCCACCTTAGCCTCTCAAAATGCTGGGGTTACAGGTGTGAGCCACCACGCCTGGCCATTTTATTTTTAAAACCAATCTTTATATGTCTGTATGGGTATCATCTGAGTATTGTGAAATCTAAAAATCTTGAGAGGTTATCTCAAGCAAAACATTCTTGTTTTATAGATGAGAAATAAAACCTCTGGTAGGTTAACTGAACATATCTAATTGTGTAGGACTGAAACTAGAGCCTCTCGAGGTTCAACTCTCTCCAATATGAATCTTCATTTAAGAGACAACTGAAGGCTGGGCGTGGTGGCTCACACCAGTAATCCCAGCACTTTGGGGTGCCAAGGCGGGAGGATTGCTTGAGCCCAGGAGTTCGAGAGCAGACTGGGCAACATAGTGAGACCCTGACTCTACAAAAAATAAAAAAAATTGCTAGTTGTAGCGGTGCACACCTGCAGTCCCAGCTCCTCAGGAGGCCAAGGTGGGAGGATGGCTTGAACTCAGGAGAAGGAGGCTGTAGTGAGCAGTGATCATGCCACTGCACTTTAGCCTGGGCTTTTTTCCTCCATCCAACTCTAAAACTCGTAGGTAATCTGGCATATAATTAATTTAGTGGATAACAGTATTGAGTCAAATGATGCCAGCAATTTGCCACCTCTTGCACTAGAGAAAACAGAAGATTAACAGGCAAAAACTGGAACTGTTTCATTAAATAACCTATGACATTTGGTAAAATATGTATGATAAAACATATAAATGATAAATGTAAATGCAATGATATAAAATGGAAAGGCAGCATTCGTTTAGGAAATATGTAATAAAAGTTGTCTTCCTCTGCTGCTCTCTCAAATTCTGTGACCTGGTTCTATTCTTCAAAGATGAAAATGGAAGCACAATAGCACAATCCTGTAATCCCAGATACTTGGAAGGCTGGAGGAGAACAGCTTGAGCCCAGGAGTTCAAGGCTGTAATGAACTATGATTGTGCCTTTAAATAGCCACTGACAACACAGTGAGACCCCCATCTCAAAAAAAAAAAAAAGAAAAAAAAAAGGAAAAGAAAATGGAGTTTCTAGAAATTAAAAGAATTATCTCAAGATGCAGTTACAATAAGCTTCTTCTAGACCACCTACTTCCCCCATTTCATTCTCACATACTAATTCTTAACAGTCCTTACTTCTTAAAGATTTGTTTTTAATTAACAGATTCCTACTGTTGCCCATTATGTTCCTAATAGCTCTTGTGTGAGAATCATCTCAGAATACTCGATCTTTCATTCTGAACACCTCATCTCTAGTGACAACTATTAACAGAATAAATGAAAAGCCCCTGTTTCTAGGGAAAAAAAAACTTACTGTAAACCCAACTGATAATTGTAAAATAGGACAATATGGGATACAGTTCTTCAATAAGGAAGAAAGCGACATCACCTTTGGGGAGGGGGTGAGGGAACGTCAAAGATATTTGTCATTAAACTTCAACTGGGCATGAAAACAAATTCTTTCCATTTTAAAATTACAAACATATTTGTATGTATCTTGGTGAACTTCTTTGGGTAGACTGATAGTGTAAATTCCTAGCAGTTTATCAGTGTATATATTTTGCACTTTGATAGAGATTACACATTGCTTTCCTGAAAGACTGCAGCAATTTACACTACTGCCAACAGTGTAGGTGAATGACTGTGCCAGCTCCAGGTATCAAACTTTTGTATTTTGATTAATCTGATAATTAAAATGAGATCATATTTTCACTTATCATTTGTATTTTTTTGATTATGGGTAAACTTGACCACCTGGAAACTCGAACTTTTAACTGGACAATAAGGAATGCCAATATAAAGGTAGGCCCATTTGGTATATAATATGACAACCATACATACATATGTAACAACCCACACATATTCCCTTTTCTGTTAGAACTTTTGGAGCCCAGAAAAGATCTTTTCCTTGAAGTTGCAATCAGGGTATAATTAAAAAGATACCTAGATTTTTCAAACAGATAATGTGCATGAGGCACCAATGGGGATAAAAAAGCCAACTTTAATTAGGCTTCTACACTCCTTAGAAATGATTCCCTATAAACTTTTCTTCACAAGTTTCCACTGAACATAAAATACATTCTTCCACCCATCTATCAATCTAAACAGTCTGTATTCTCCACATATCCTTAGACTTCAAACAACCAGTTCACATTTCATTAAGAGGAAATGAGAATTAAAGGGCACACTGTAATCCTATTTCCTGGGCTTACAGAGCTCAAAATTTTCCATTTTACTTATCTGAAAAATAATACTGGATGGCTCAGCAAACTGATTTTAAATCAGAGATAGGGTCCTAAGTATATCTGCCCAGTAGAGGACTCCCTGTATTTTAGGTATTGAAGATGCACACATACAGTTAACACATACACACCCACCCTCCCACTCTTCCTTTTTTTTCTCACTCTTACACAGGAGCTAGGACTACAAACATGAAGATGACAATTACAGTAACAGAGAAAGTATCTCTGAAGTTCTTTGTCTTTTCTGAAGACAAATGTTTTCCTTTCTATATCCAACCCTGTCCCCATCCTACCTTAAAATGCACTCTCTGGCCAGGCGCGGTGGCTCACGCCTGTAATCCCAGCACTTTGGGAGGCCGAGGCAGGGGAATCATGAGGTCAGGTGTTCACGACCAGCCTGGTCAACATGGCAAAACCCTGTCTCTACTAAAAATACAAAAAACACTGGCTGGGTGTGGTGTTGTGCACCTGCAGTCCCAGCTACTTGGGAGGCTGAGGCAGGAGAATCGCTTGAACCTGGGAGGCAGAAGTTGTGCCATTGCACTCTAGCCTGGGCAACAGAGACTCCATCTCAAACAAACAAACAAACAAACACTCTCTATCTGCTCTGTGCTTGAAGTGAAACGTACATAAATTTAAGTCCAAGTAAGCCTACCTTTATATTGACATTCCTTATTTTCCTGTTAAAAGTAATCTCCTTCTAGTTCTCTGTACTTCTAAACTTTCTAATTTTTATGGTATATATATATTTTTTACTTGACATTGTGAGTGCTTAAGTCTGAGACTGTGTCTTATATCTTATACATTCTTGAACTCCTTACAGCACCCACCATATTACTTTATATTGAGTGGCCAGTCACTGTTTCATTCTTATTATATTAAATGAGTTTATATTTATAAAGTGTTTCTGTAACTGAGTACCTCCATCTAAGAGACAGAATGAGTTATTTTTAAATTATTTTTTCTCTCTTCTCATTCCTCCTTTTCCCCTATACCCCACTTCCTACTTAGCTCTTTAGAAATGCAATTATAACCTGCTACCTCCCCTTCACCAGACATGTGCTTAGAAGCTCCAGAGTGGAACTCTCCCACCAGGAGACTGCCTCGAGAGACAACAGTCTATTTACAACAAAAAGGACACTGGCAATGAAACTCTCTCTGACCTGGAGAGTTTCAGCCACTTTTTTTCTTTTTTCTTTGTTTTTTTTTTTTTGAGATGGAGTTTAGCTTTTGTTGCCCAGGTTGGAGTGCAATGGCACAATCTCGGCTAACTGTAACCTCTGCCTCCCGGGTTCAAGCGAGTCTCCTGCCTCAGCCTCCTGAGTAGCTGGGATTATAAGCATGAACCACTACACCTGGCAAATTTTTTTTTTTTTTTTTTTTTTTGAGTTGGAGTCTCGCTCTGTCACTCAGGCTGGAGTGCAGTGGCGCGATCTCAGCTCACTGCAAGCTCTGTCTCCCAGGTTCACGCCATTCTCCTGCCTCAGCCTCCCGAGTAGCTGGGACTACAGGTGCCTGCCACCACACCCAGCTAATTTTTTTTTTTTTTTTTTTGTACTTTTAGTAGAGACAGGGTTTCTCCATGTTGGTCAGGCTGGTCTCAAACTCCCTACCTCAGGTGATCTGCCCGCCTCGGCCTCCCAAAGTGCTGGGATTACAGGCATGAGCCACTGTGCCTGGCCTCAGCCACTTTTACAACCTAGTTCTGCCCATGAAGGTGCCAGTGATTGCCACCTCAACTGCCCGGCAGATAAAGCACCCTCACCTGTTTGCTTTCTCCACTGCGTGCCATTCATGCCAAGCTCCCTTTTAAAAGCAGCTGCTTTCTGCTCCAAAGCTGAAGTGGTACCCTTAAGGCAGGAGGCCTGTATTTCTTCCCCAAAGCTAGCTTTGGAATAAAAAGTCACTCTCTTTATACCAGACCTCACTATTGTTATCGGACTCTACAAGTGGTGAGTGGCTGAGTCTGTGTTTCAGTGACATTTCGAATAGTGCTGGCACATAACAAATGCTATTTATTAAATAAGAAACTGACAAATTTTTTCTAATGAATTTTCCCCTTCAGCATGTAAATCTTATTTCTCCTGTCTTAAATAAACTTCTTGACTCCATTCCCTTCACCAGTTACTTCCCCAGTTACTTCTTCCTACTGCAGTGTAACTCATAAAGATTATTCAAACTCACTGTCTACAAATTATTTTCTTCCCATTCACAAACCCACTCAACTGGCTTTTATCTCATCGGTCTACTAAAAAGTTTCTGTTGAGGTGACCAATCATCTCCAAATTACTAAATCCAAAGAGAAGTTCTTAGTCCTCTTCTTATTGACCTATCTGCAGCATTTGACATACTTGATGTTTCCTTTCTCCTATGAAGAATTTCCATACTTGGTTTTCCAGTACACCATCCTCTCTAGATTTTCCTCTTCTCTCATAGGTCAATCTTCTTCCTTTTCTTCTTCTCCCTAATTACATTTTCTGCCTAGAACTTTCTCCTTAGTATCCTATGACTCTAAGAGTCTCTAGACTCAAAAATGTCACTTACCTATTCAACATTCCCACTTAGATGGCTGATGGACACCTGAAACTGAACTCCAGCACTTTCCCACAAAACCTGCCCTCCAGCAGCATTTACATCTCAGTTAATGACAAATCTATTCTTCCAGCTGTTTAGGTTAAAATCCTCATAGTTACTGATTTCTTTCATACCTTACATCCAACCTGCCAGAAAATTCTGTTAGCATCGCCTTCAAAATACATCTAAAATCCAACTACATCTTATAATCTTCACTTGTACTTTAGTCTGAACCATGATCATATATTGTCTGAGTTACTAAAATGATTTCCCAACTGGTCTATCTTGCCCACATATCTGTTCTTAATACTACAACCAGAATGATCCTTTAAAAACCTAAGTCAAATCACATCAGTCCTCTGCTTAAAATTCTTCAATGAATTCCTGTGATACTATGAAATACATAGTTGACCCTTGAACAACAAAGGTCTGAACTACATGGATCCACTTATATGCATATTTTTTCCAATATATTGGAAAATATTTTGGAGATTTGAAACAATTTGGGAAAAAATGGCAAATTGCATAACCTAGGAATACCAAAAAATTAAGATTCGTGAATGAATGCATAAAACATATGCAGACACTAAGTTTATTTTATCATTTAACACCATAAAGTATGTACAAATCTGAAGTTAATTCTATCAAAATTTATACAAACACTTACATGGTGCCATTTGCAGTCAAGAGAAATGTAAACAAAGATGCAGTATTAAATCGTAACTGCATAAACTGCATAAAATTAACTGTAGTATATACTGTGCTACTGTACAATTTTCACAGCCACCTCCAGTTGCTAGCAGTGAGTGAAGTATTGCAAGTATCCACTTAAAGTGCATGTGACACTAATCACCTGAGTGACCAGTTCCTCTCTCCAGTAAACTGCATATCTCAGTAAAAAGCGATCTCTTGAGACTTCTCTATTATTTTTCACTGTGTTTAGTACAATACTGTAAACCTCGAATAATACCATGAGATGCGTAAGAAGTGAGACTAGTGACACTGAAGTGCTCCCAAGAAGCAGAGAAAATGTCATGACATTACAAGAAAAAGTTGATTGCTTGATATGTACCATAGGTTAAGGTCTGCTGCTGCGGTTGCCTGCCATTTCATACAGATGATTTGTCTTGTAAACATATGTAAATACAGTACTGTAAATGTATTTTCTCTTCCTTATGATTTTAGTAACATTTTAAAATTAAAATAACATTTTCCTTATGATTTTCTTAACATTTTATTTTCTCTAGCTTACTGTATTGTAAGAATAGAGTATATAATACATATAATATATAAAATATGTGTTAACAGTTTATGTTATTGATAAGGCTCTGGTCAGCAATAGACTGTTAGTTAAGCTTTGGGGGAGTCAGAAGTTATACACGGATCTTTGATTGTGTGTGAGGGTCCAGCACCCCTAATCCCCACTTTGATCAAGAGTTAACTGTATTTGGTCGTCTTCTCCTTTTCCTGGCATACAACTACTAAAATCCTTGGAATCTCCAAAGTGATGTGTCTTTTTGTATGCTAATAAGACGGCTGATGGTTGGCAGCTTCAGGGTGAGGCTGGTCATCAGAAAGACCAAGGCATAATTAGAGAATTGGCATTTCAGCCCCACCCCCCAACCTCTGGGAGGGTAAAGGAAGGAGAGTGAAGGTTAAATGATCACCAATGGCAAGCAATTTAATCAATCACACCCACATAATGAAGTTTCCATAAAAACCCAAAAGGACAGGGTTAGGGAGCTTCTGGATAGCTGAACATGTGGAGTTTCCTGGAGGGTGGGGGCTTAATGGAAGCACTGCATCCCTTCCCATATGCCTTGCCTATGCATCTTTTCATCTGCATCCTTTATAATAGGCCAGTATACACGTTTTCTTGAATTCTGTAAGCCACTCTAGCAAATTAACTGAATCCAAGGAGGGGGCTGTGGAAACCCCAATTTACAGCCAGTTGGTCAGAAGCACAAGCAAAATAACCTGGGGCTTTCAATGGGCATTGGAAATGGGATGCAGTCTTGTGGGACCCAGTCCTCAACTAGTGTAATCTAATACTATCTCCAGGTAGACAGAGTCAGAATTGAATTGAATTAAAGGATACCCAGCTGGTGTCTGCTGCAGAATTGCTTGCTGGTGGGAAGAAATCTCCACAGACCTGGCATCAGAATTGTGTTGTTGAGAGGATAGTGGGAGAAACTGAGTATGTTTTATCCACTCAATTTCCTTTACACTCAAATGGCCTTCAAAGGCACATCTGATTTGGCCTTCTTTATGGTAGATTAATAGCCACATTCATCCAATCTCGTATACCCTTCCCTTTATAATTTGGATTTCCCACTCCTGTCAAGAGGTGGCTTCTGGCCAGGCACGGTGTCTCATGCCTGTAATCTCAACATTTTGGGAGGCCAAAAGGCAGGAGGATCACTTGAGCCCAGGAGTTTGAGACCAAGCCTCAGCAACATGGTGAGACCCTACCTCTACAAAAAAGAAATAAATTAGCAAAGCGTGGTGGCACATTTTTGTGGTCCCAGCTACTCAGGAGGCTGAGCCAGGAGGATGGCTTGAGCCCAGGAGATCCAGGCTGCAGTGACCTGTGTTTGTGCCAGTGCACTCTAGCCTGGGCAACAGAGTAAGACCCTGTCTCAAAAAAAAAAAAAAAAAAAAAGAGATGGAATGTATTTCTCCATCCAGTGAAACTGGGTTTGGTCATGGTCTTGCTTTGGCCAAGTGAAGTGTCAGCAAATGTGACATGAACAGTGAAATGTTAGCAAATGTGACACAAGCAGAGGCTTAAAAAGTATTTGTGCATTGGAGTCTGTCCTTTCTTGTTGCACTGAGATCTCCAGCACACTTTACATCTCAGTTATTGACAACCTCATCCTTATAATAGCTATTCAGGCTAAAATCCTTGTAGGTTGTCTACGTGGATGAGTGTTAAAAAGAAAAAATAAAATAAAACCTTGAGAGGTCCAGCCAACAGCCAGTACCTACTACCAGACACATGAGGAAGGGAGGCCATCTTAGACCATCTAGGTCCACCTGAGCCCCCCAACAACTATAATGACACGAGGCAAGACCAGCCTAAGAACCACCTAGTGGAGCCCAGCCCAAATGGCTGACTCAAAATTGTGAGCAAATAAAACAGTTATATTAAGCTAATATTTTTATTATTTTTTTAAGACAGTCTCACTCTGTCACCCAGGCTGCAGTGCAGTAGCCTGATCATAGCTCACTGCAGTCCCAAACTCCTGGGCTCAAGCGATTCTCTCACCTCAACCTCCTGAGTAGCTGGGACTACAGGCACACACCACCATGCCTGGCTAATTTTTATTTTTTTTAAAGACAAGCTCTCACTATGTTGCTCACGCTGGTCTTGAACTCCTGACCTCAAGTGATCCTCTTGCCTCAGCCTCCTGAGTACCTGGGATTACAGGTGCAAGCCACTGTGCCTGGCTAAGCCACTAAGTTTTAAGGTGGGGTGTTACACAGCAATAGATAACTGATACACTGTATTAAATCTCTCACACTCCCAATTCCTGCCACTCTTCCCTCTCTTAATTATTGCTCTAATCATACCAACTAACCTCTTTTTAATTCCTTGTAAACACTGTGAAAACTCCTGCAGTTATTCTGGCTGTACCCCTGCCTGGAATGCTCATTCCTCAGCTGAACGGCTAACCTGCTCTCCTCTTTCAAGCCTTCCTTCAAATGTCTTGTTTTAAATGAAGCTTATGCTTACTGTTCTATTAAAAATGGCAGTCTACCCTCAATGTCCAGCACTTCCAATTCCTCTTACCCTGCTTTATTGTATTTATTTATTTTGAGAAAGGATCTTGCTCTGTCACCCAGGCTGGAGCGCAGTGGTAATTTAGCTCACTGCAACCTCCACTGCCCTACCCTGCCCCGGGATTCAAGTGATCCTCCCATTTCAGCCTTCCAAGTAGCTGGGACCACAGAGTCAGCTACATTTTTTCTTCTCAAATCCTGCCTTCAAAATGTTCATTCTGTAATTTGGAATGAACTCTTCACAAAGCATGTGCAGGCCGGGTGTAGTGGCTCATGTCTATAATCCCAGCACTTTGGGAGGCCGAGGCAGGCAGATCACGAGGTCAGGAGATTGGGACTATCCTGGCTAACACCGTGAAACCCCAACTCTACTAAAAATACAAAAAAAAAAAAAAAAAAAAAATTAGCTGGGCGTGGTGGCAGGCACCTGTAGTCCCAGCTACTCGTGAGGCTGAGGCAGGAGAATCGCGTGAACCCAGGAGGCAGAGCTTGCAGTGAGCCGAGATGGCGCCACTGCACTCCAGCCTGGGCGACAGAGCGAGACTCCGTCTCAAAAACAAACAAACAAAAAACACAAAGCGTGTGCAATCTCATGCAAGGAGGTCATATATGAAACCCTATCTATAGCAGTTTTATGTATCTAGATTGTTATATTAAAAGTTTTAGATACTAGGGGCAAGTACCTCATTTGTGAACATTTTAATCATTGTTTCAATGAGAATATTTTAGTTTACCAATCAATAAATAGTTCAGGTAAGAGAGAGACAAAGGTAGGGAAGCAAGGAAATAGTTTAATCCAGGGATCCCCAACCCCTGGGCCGCAGACCAGTACAGGTCAGTGGCCTGTTAGGAACCAGGCCACACAGTAGGAGGTGAGCAGCAAGCGAGTATTACCACCTGAGCTCCACCTCCTGTCAGATCAGTGGTGGCATCAGCTTCTCATAGGAGCACAAACCCTATTATGAACTGCGCTTGCGAGGGATCTAGGTTGCATGCTCCTTATGATAATCTAACTAATGCCTGATGACCTGAGGTGAACAGTTTCATCCCCAAACCATCCCACTCCAACCTTGCCCACAGACACCCCGACCCCATCTGTGGAAAAATTGTCTTCCACAAAACCGGTCCCTGGTGCCAAAAAGGTTGGGGACTGCTGGTTTAATCTACACTCACTCACTCAGGTACTAACTATATTGTTTTGATCATACTGTCTCTACTCTTATAAGTTAATGCAATCAGCAAATAAAATCAATTAAAAATATTTAAATTATGTTTTATGCCCTCCCCCACCTGACTATCAATAATGGAAAAAAAGGAGTTAACTTCTCTTTTACTGTTAGTCTCCACCCACTATTCCTTTAGGGCTCTCCTATGAATCCTTTCCTTCTGATCACCCCACTCACCCTGGGCTAGCATTCTTAATAAAATAGATAAGTAAACTGACCTTTTATAACCTCAGAACAAACAGAGATGTGTCAGGGGTTTTGAATCCAAGATATATAGCAAACAACAGAAAAAGAGGGTACAGACCAGAGGCACAAATCTGCTTAAAAAGTTGGCATTTAAATTATCAACCATAAGGCATAAGAGGGTAATTCAATATCAAACTTCACAGTGAAAAATCTGTTTGGATCTTAAATCCAACTGCTCAATAGCAAACAATATGAATGTACATTAACTTCAGAATCAGGCAAAACTATAAAGAATCTCCTTTGCTTTAGTATTTATCTCTTAGAAAATATGTATCATTTATAAGATCAACTAAAAAATGGCAAGGTCAACTAAAAAAAATGGTAAAATCAAACTATAGGCTAAGTTTGTACTCAGGACTATGGATGAAATGTGAAAATGGTGGTTGTGTTGAATAAAGCTGGATCATCCTCCAATCCAGTTTTATCTCAGAGATTTGTTCTGCTGATCTGGAGATACAAGTTTCACACTGAGATATGTGTATATTGCTTTACAATTCAGAAAATTTCCAAGTCCTTGGGAAAAATACTTTGAAAATAAGTAGCTGAGCACTAAGAAATCTTTTTCTTTTTTTTTTTTTTTTTTTGGCCACCTAGATCCATCAAGAATTTTTTTTTTTTAATTTAATAAGTATTCCAGGTGGCTCTAAATCAAATTCCTATTTGTTATGCATGCCTGGCATCTTCGAATTTAACCCATGTTTTTCCCAAGCAGTCCAAGGCAAATGAAACTCTTGTTCATTGAAAGAAACACTGATTTTCCAGTAACTATTTCGCTTGAGAAAGTGAGGATGACACTTACTCTGCAATGAAGCAGCCCATTACACACAAGAGACGGGACACTCCAGGATGATCTGAGCATGTCCATACAGCTACAGAGCACCCTCTACATTCTGTCCAAATAGCTTTGGGTAAAATGAACAACTAGGAAACACATATTATGCTTCTCCATTATTACAACCTTACACAAGTCAGTCCTAAAATAGCAAATGCCCCTGGCTGAGATCTACTGCTGAAAAACGCTAAGTTTCAGCAGCTCAGGCTATTTCCTTTGTCTGTCTATTCAACCAGCCCCCACTTAAAGCTGCAGGACTAACTAACTATAGGATTCAGGATGAGATTTTTTTTTTTTTTTTTTTAAAAGACAGATACACACACATATACAACATACGGTTTCCGAGGAGAGTGAGGGCTCCATGCTTGTGAGAGAGGAGGAGGAGGAATATGCCGAATAACCCTCAGGTTTCTCCCAGATTTGAACATGTTGTACTGTGGCATGAGGTCAGCAGAGACTTACTCCAGCCCTGTGAGGCTGAATTCTACCCTGACAAAGCAGTATCACTGTAATATGAAGCAAGAGGATTCAGGGCATGTTGGCAGCTGTACAGAATGCCTGTTCTAGAAAGTAATGGCAATTCCAAAACAAGAGATCTATGGTGTCACATGAGATAATCTTCAGCCCAGTTAAGCAATAAGCACCCAAAATACTTTGAATCCCAAACACAGGCAGCTCAAAAGTTTAATGGTAGAAAAGAACTTTTCTCCTTGACCCTATTTTGTGTCTGGAGGAAATAATCAGGAAGAAGAAAACTGGAAGAATCATTAGTTAATTTGATCTGTATCATAAACAACATACTGATTCTGATCTGATCTGTTCCTGGGCACTACGACCTAGCTGAAGAACCCCAAACCACCTCTGTGACTTTACTATGGAACAGGGAGAATATTCTGGAAATACATTTTTGGTAATGGATATATGCCAGAACTGAAGGTGTGAATAACCTCATTTTTCATATGTGCCCAAAAGGCAAACCTAATATACATCATCATTTCTTTTTAGTTCAAGAATGTGTGCCTTTAGAAATTCTTCCTCCAAAGAAGAGGGGCACTAAAAAAGGAGCCAGAACATGAATTTTCTACCAAGAGAAAACAGGGCAATGCAGACATTCCTTTACATTTTATGGTGTCCCTTATACTATGAAAGTTCTATTCTAGACCAAAAGTGACCCAATAGTTTTATAACAAGTAAAATTTAGCCAGGAAACACAAGACAATGGAGATAAAAGAAAACTGTACTACAGCACTAATGGGAAGGTAAATCTATAAGAAGTTCTTCAATAGTTCAGTGGGATAAGGAGGGATAAGGAATAAAGAAATAAAAACTTTTCAAGATACACTAGCTTTGTTTTTATACATATAGCTTACTAATATTGGATTTTAAAAGGAGATACATATAACTTATTTACAGATTTCCAAATTTCTGATAAAGTTTTTGAGGATCTACATTTGTACCCAAAAACCTAAAGATAATCATACAATTTCATTTTCTTTTTCTTTTTGAGACAGGGTCTTGCTCTGCCATCCAGGCTGAAGTGCAATGGTGTGATTTCAGCTCACCGCAACCTCCGCCTCCTGGGCTCAGGTGATTCTCCTGCCTCAGCCTCCCAGGTAGCTGGAATTACAAGTATGTGCCACCACACCCACTAATTTTGTATTTTTAGTAGAGATGGGGTTTCACCATGTTGGCCAGGCTGGTCTCAAACTCCTGACAAGTGATCCTCCTGCCTTGGCCTCCTAGAGTGTTGGGATTACAGATGTGAGCCACTGTGCGCGGCCTAATCGTACAATTTCTAATATAATTTTTTCATTCTTTAAGAATTTTACTTCAATAAAAACGAAACATAGCATCTTATTTTTTTAAGTAAATAGAAAAAAGAAATAGAAAAAAGTCATTATAGAAATAGAAAAAAGAAAATAGAAAAAAATCATTACTGGATTGTTTCAAAGCAGGTAATTTTGAAAGACTGGATAGGCAAGTTTCCTGTATTAATAAACTTTTCTTTAGGTCATTTTATAAGAACCTCTGAAAGAGTAATCTACTTTGAACATTGATTTTTTTTTTTGTTATACTTACACTATCAAAGGAAATTTTGATTCCCTAGTTTTAAGATGCACAAGAAACAGTGCCCAGAATGGTGGTTATTACCAATTGAAAAGAAACAACCGTACTAAATTTTTTAGTTCTGAGCTTCTTTCTTAGCAATATCTTAACACAAGGCCAAGAGAAAAGTCTGGGAAAGCAGTAAACAGTCCTTTGGAGTATGGGTTTTAGTCTACTGCCAAAGGTAGGAGATACAACTAATGTTTTGATTTCTACATTTGTACCCAAAAACCTAAAGATAATCATTCTATGAACCAGGATAGGAATAGAAGGGAACATCTGATAAATTATGTAAATCTGTATAGGTACAGACAGGTACCTGTATCTACCTGTATGTACAGGTACAGACTTTGGGCCAAAAGGGAATAGGCATTAATATGGAACAAAAAGAGTCAGTCATACCTTATCTGTAGAGGAGAAGTAGGACTAACAACAGAGTGAAACTTTTGCAGCTCTAAATTACTATCCTCAATGTCGGAGACAAAATTTTCTAACTAGAAGGGCTTCGTATTTATTCAATAATTCTTACTATGTGCCAGGCACACTATATGGGACATTTAGGGATACAAAAATGAATAAGATGAACAGGTTCTTGCCCTCTACTGACTTTTGAGATCATCTGTGTTCTCTAGGCTACTATTTCTCAACATTAAAACAAAACAAACAAATAAAAACTTTACATCCTCTACAATACGGTCTCGCTCTACAGTCTAGCTATGCATTCCTGCCACTCTGGATTATTTTATTGTGCTTTACTATCTGTAGTTTATAGTTTTAAAACAAGAATTATACGGACTCTACTTTTTAAAAAGTATACCTCTCCATTAGAGATTCTAATATCTCAAGTCTCCTAGGGATGTGAAGGCCGGGCATGATGGCTCACACCTGTAATCCCAGCACTTTAGGAAGGCGAGGTGGGAGGATCACCTGAGGTCAAGAGTTCGAGACCAGCCTGGCCAACATGGTAAAACCCTGTCTCTATTAAAAATACAAAAATTAGCTGGGTGAGGTGGCGCACACCTGTAATCTCGGCTACTTGGGAGGCTGAGGCAGAACTGCTTGAACCCAGAGGTTGCAGTGAGCTGAGATGGTGCCACTGCACTTCAGCCTGGGTAACAGAGCAAGACTCTGTCTCAAAAAAAAAAAAAAAAAAAAAAAAAAAAAAGAACCACTGTTCAAACCAAACATCTTATTCTGTAGTACAAAACCCTAGTCTTTGAAAGGAGAATTGAATGATGTAGTTGTGGCCCTATCAGATCTAGAATCCACATGTACTGATTCTCCATTTCTGTTCTTTCTACTAAACCATGGTGTACCCTCCTACAATCTTGTTCCTACTTCATGCACTGTCATACCAATCTGTTTTTTTATGTCACCATTGTATGAAAACAATGGAACAAACAAATGAACAAAAAACAAAAACTCTTCAATTTCTGCAATGTACTCACTTTGCAGAGATGTTCATGGTTTGGTATTCCTGCCTTATAGCTTCACTATATAAATCCTCTGTGGAGGCTTTTTTTGGACAAATTATTTCTTTGGAATGCTGTTTGACTGCATGATCAATGAAGGTTCCTTTCTAGCCCCAGAATTAATTCTGAGATTGTCTATAGTGCTATGTGAGGTTTTTTGGAACCTTACTGAGGATCAATAAATGGTAGAAAAATTCTGGGGAAAACTGATTAGGTACACAAAGAATGAAGTTGGTGGGCTTCATTTTTATAAATATGAATTTTAAATCTTTATAAAGATGTAAGTCTATAATCATCAAAGCTTACAGAAAAATAATACATTTTCAACATGTTTAAAATAATCACATTTTACATCTTTATAAATAACAGGCAATCTTCAATTATTCCTTCTTAGATAATGGAGTCTCTTAATGTTTCTTGCTAAAGTAATATAGGTAGTCCTGAAGGTCTGAAGGAAAGCTGAGAAAGCTGTTACAACAAAAATAAAACAAAAGCCCTCACTATCTGCAACTGACAGTAATTTGGAGGTCCCTAATGAGCCAGCCCTCTTGGTACTGATGCCCCACGTAGTCTTCTTCCCATACTGACTTTGGGCTTGGTGACTAGCTGTGACTAGCTATAGCAAATGGCATACTATCAACAACTATGCAAACAGAGACTTGTTAAGTTCTTGCAAATTGGGGATTATTCGAACTCAGCTGCCATGCTACAAAAAAGCCCAACTAGTGTAATCAAGGTCCCTGGCCAAAAGCCACAGCTGAACTCAGAGTCAGCAGCTAACATAAACAGCTAGCATGTGAGTGAGGCTATTTGGACTTTCTGATCATCCCAATACCTCAGCAAACTTAATAAACTTTGCTTTGACCTAAAGCAGAAGGGCTCTGTACTAATTTATTGAATAATTCTTATTATGTGACAGGCACACTATATGGGACATTTAGGGATATAAAAATGAGTAAGATAAACAGGTTTAACCTAAAGCAAAGTTTATTAATATAGGGAACTTGATACAAACCAGAAGTGCCTGTTCAACCCACAGAATCAAGACAAATAAATTGTCACTTTAAGCTACAAAGTTTTTTTTGTTGTTGTTGTTCTGAGATGGAGTCTTGCTCTGTCGCCTAGACTGGAGTGCAATGGTGCGATCTTGACTCACTGCAACCTCCGCCTCCAGGGTTCAAGCGATTCTTGTGCCTCAGTCTCCCAAGTAGCTGGGATTACAGGCGCCGGCCACCACGCCCAGCTAATTTTTGTAATTTTAGTAGAGATGGGGTTTCACCATGTTGGCCAGGCTGGTTTTGAACTCCTGACCTTGTGATCTGCCCATCTCGGCCTCCCAAAGCACTGGGATTACAGGTGTGAGCCACCGTGCCCAGCAAGCTACAAAGTTTTTAAAAAATTTCTTAACACCACAGAATTTACTTTTTACGTATGTGTACAGTTCTATGAATTTTAAAACATGCATAGACTCATGAAACCACCAGCAGTATAATCAGGATACAGA
Source organism: Homo sapiens (assembly GCF_000001405.40). NCBI lineage: Eukaryota > Metazoa > Chordata > Mammalia > Primates > Hominidae > Homo > Homo sapiens. The sequence continues at coordinate 129,728,710 of NC_000003.12, forward strand.
GAAGTTCCAAAAGACTTCCTTATATAGTCACACCTAACCCCACCACTAACCCTTAACTTATTCTTTTTCACTATAGTCCTATCTTTCTGAGAGTGTCACATAAACAGAATCATACAGTATATAACTTTCTGAGACTGATTTATCAACACAATGTCTTTGAGATGCATAAAGGATGATGCATGTATCATAGTTCATTCCTTTTCATTGCTGAGTAGTAGTTCATTGTATGTATATACCACAGTTTATCCATTCACCTGTTGAAGGACATTTGGATGGTTTCCATTTTTTAGCAATTGTGAGTAGAGATGCCATAAACATCAGTGTAGAGGATTTCATAGAAATGTAAGTTTTCATGTTTCTAGGTTAAATACCTAGGCATGGATTTACTGGGTCACATGTTCAGAGTATGTTTAACTTAAAAAAAAAAATCACCAAATTTTTCCAGAGTAGTTTTGCCATTTTCCTTTCCTACCAGCAGTGTATGAGAGTTCCAATTGTTCTCTGCATCCTTGTCAGCATTTGCAACTGTCAGTTTTTTATTTTAGTCATTTTAAGAGTGGTACCTCATCAAGATTTTAAATGCATTTTCTTAATGGATACTAAGGCTAAATATCTTTTTATGTATTTAGTTGTCATTGTATATGACAACTTTTGTTGTCTGTTTTAAAGAATCTGTTTAAGACATTAAAGAATCTTTTGTAAAGAATCTGTTTAAGACATTTGACCATGTATTATATAGGGTTTAAAAATAAAACTATTGAGCTTTGACAATTTTTTATATACAGCTGTTCCTTGACTTTTGTCTCAATAAATGAACTGTGAGATGAAAATATTGGCCAGGCACAGTAGCTCACATGTATAATCCCAGCACTTTGGGAGGCCAAGATGGGAGGTCACTTGAGGCCAGGAGGTTGAGACCAGTCTAGTCAACACAGCAAGAATCCCATCGTAAAAAAATAATAAAATGAAAATATTGCAAGTTGAAAGTGTATTTAATATACCTAACTTACTGAACATCATGGCTTAGCCTAACCTACCTTAAATTGCTCAGAACGCTTACATTAGCCCACAGTTGGCAAAATCACCTAACGCAAAGCCTATTTCATAAAAAGGAATGAGGCCAGGCACAGTGGCTCATGCCTGTAATCCCAGCACTTTAGGAGGCTGAGATGGGAGGAATATTGAGCGGAGATGGGAGGAATAATTGAGCCCAGGAGTTCAAGACCAGCCTGGCCAACGAGTGAGACCTTGTCTCTGCTTTTAAAAAAATTTTTAAATAAATAAAATAAAAAAATAGAAAAATAATTTATTGACTATTGTACTGATAGTGAATAACAGAATAGTTGTACAGGTACTCGAAATATGGTTTCTGCTAGACATATATTGCTTTTGCACCATTGTAAAGTCAAAAAAATTGTTAAGTTGAACCATTTTAAGTCAGGAACCATCTGTATTCTGAATATAAGTCCTTTGTCAGATATGTGATTTACAAATTTTTCTCCCAATATGCAGCATGCCCTTTAATTCTCTCGATAGCATCTTTCACAGATTAAAAATTTCCTGTGTTGTTCTAAAAGTTTCATAGTTTATTTTATATATTAATTTATGATTTATTTTGTGTTAATTTTTATATAAGGTGTGAGAAGTTCAAGTTTTTGCCTACAGATTTCTACTTTTTCCAACACCTCTTTTTGAAAACACTATCCTTTCTCCATTGAATTGCCTTTGTATTTTTGTGAAATATGAACTGGCAATATTTACGTGGGTCTATTTCTGAACTTTCTATTCTATTCCATTAATCTACATGTGTACCCTTTTACTAATATGGCCTCATCTTGGTTACTGTAGCTTTATGGTAAGTCTGAAAGCTGGGCAGAATAATTCACGTAACTTTATTTTTCTTTTCCAGTATGGTTGACTCTTCTAGTTCTTTTGCCTTTCGATATATATTTAAGAATAAGCTTGTCTATCTCTACAAAAAGGTCCTGCTGAGATTTCTGATTGGAATTGTGTTAAAAGGATAATAGGGAATGCCTACAAAGAACTGTGTGTACATAAATCAACAGTTTACATGAAGCGGACCAAATTCTCAAACAACAAACTACCAGAATCACCTAAGATGAAATAGATAAACTGAATGGTTATATAACAGTTTTTAAAATGAAATTTTGTAATTAAACATATTCTGAAAAAGAAATCTCCCTGTGGTTTCACTAAATTCTACCAAACATTCATTACAAATAAATCAATTCTATACAATCTGTTCCAGAAAGCAGAAGGAGGAACTCATTTTATGAAGCCAGCATTATCCAGGAATTAAACCCGGAGAAGATCTGTTAAAACAAAACAAGACAGCAGACCAATAGCCCTCATACTAGCAAATCAAACCTAGCAATGTATATGAAGAATAATATACCATAACCAAGCAGGGTTTGTATCAGGAATGCAATGCTGGTTCAATATTTGAAAACCAAGCAAGGTAAGCAACATTAGCCCAGAGAAGCAAAACCACATGATATCAATTTATACAGGAAAAGCATTTGAGAAAAGTCAACAGCCACTCATTATTAAACTCTTAGCCAATTAGGCTGGACGCGGTGGCTCACACCTGTAATCTCAGCACTTTGGGAGGCCAAGGTGGAGAGATCACATGAGGCCAGGAGTTTGAGACCAGTCTAGCCAACATGGTGAAACCCTGTCTCTACTAAAAATACAAAAATTAGCTAGACATCGTGATGCATGCCTGTAATCCCAGCTACTTGGGAGACTGAGGCACAAGAATCACTTGAACCCAGGAGGCAGAGGTTGCAGTTAACCGACATCGTGCCACTGCACTCCAGTCTGGGTGACAGAGTGAGACTCCGTCTCTAAATAAATAAATAAATAAGAACTCTTAGCAAATTAGGAATAGAGGGGAACTTCATCATTTTTTTTTTTTTAAACAGGCGTGAGCCACCGTGCCTGGCCCAAAATTTTTTTACACAGCAGCTAATTTCATACTTACTGGCTCAAGCCATCCTCCCACCTCAGCCTCCCAAGGAGCTGAGACTACAGGTGTCAGCCCCCAAGCCCGGCTAGTTTTTCGTATTTTTTTTGGTAGAGACAGGGTTTTGCCATGCTGCCCAGGCTGGTCTTGAACTCCTGAGCTTAAACGATTCACCTGCCTCAGCCTCCCAAAGGTCTGGGATTACAGGTGTGAGCCACTGTGCCTGGCTTCCCATATGTTTTAAAGAATCTCTAGATTTATAATACCCAATGCAATGCCTACACATCACTTCATTCACATGGATTCAACATAGTATTTCATGTGTGGCAAATTCAAATTTTGCTTTTTGGAACTTTTTGAAATTTTTTTTCTAAATATTTTGTGTAGACTGGCATAGTATGTTGCAACCTTGCTAACCTCACTTAGTTCTAGGAGTATTCTGTGGATTCCTTGGTTTTCTACATATACAGTGATGTAGCCAGTGAATAGAAATTGTTTTACTTCTTTCTTTCCAATTTGTATGTCTTTTATTTCCTTTTCTTGATTTATTTTACTGGCGAGAACTTCAATACCAATAGAAATTGCCAGAGAGGACATCCTTGCACTGTTCCCCAGCCAGAACTCCAATGTCAGTTAAGTTTTCAAAGTCTTTGCAGTGCTTTTTGGATCTGTCCCACAGATGCACCACCCACCCTGTTGCCAGTCTGGGACTTGGCAATGGTCTAACCCCTACTTCATTTCTCAAAGTCTAGGTATACTGTTTGGGGTCAGATTTCTGCATGCAGACTGCATGAATAAGCTCAAAAATTCATAATAAAATTTAAAGAGTTTATTTTCAAATATCTTATAATCTCCCAGTACTTTCTAGGTCAATGGGATTCCCCTTTCTCATTACCTAGTCAGAAAGCTGGTATGTTATTTACTCTGCTCAGCCATACAATTTCCATAATAGTGCCTTTGTTTGGAAGCAAGCAGATGAAGGAGAGAGAAAAAAAGCAATTGAGACTCATTCCACCCTCTTGTAACCACAGCTCCACTGATCTGAGAATGGTTCCCTAAAATCAGAGTTTTAAGCTCTTGCTAGACCCCAATCTGCTGTCACTGCAGGACTGCTTGAGGTTCATGGTGCAAGAGAACAGAGGAAAGAAAAAGGAAAAAAGAAAAAGTTTCTGTACTTTCTATTAGTATTACAATATCGCCTTCCCATTCTTTGAACCAGAACTGAAGGCTTCTCCTAGAGTTCTCTTATCCACATTAATGTCCACTTAGGGGTTTTAGGCTGTGTTGATTTGAAGCCTGAGGATATGAGAGAGGTGAGAATGATAAATTAAACCCTGGTTCAACAGTACTTCAAAATCTGCTCCTTCTTAGTGCAACTTTTAAGATACGTCTTTTGGAGTCCTCAAATAGTTGCTCTAGGCCAGGTGTTTTAGCTGAGTTCAGTAGAAAAGACAGGTGAAATGTGTTTGCTCCATCTTACCCATAACAGGCATCTTAAGCCACGAAGTTCTGAGGTGAACTGTTACACAGAAATAGATAACTGGAGTACAATCCAACTCAAGAAGCAATCATTCAAGTGTGGTGTACATGAAACAACACAGCCTTTATGCATCTTCTCTAGAAAAGTCACCAGATAATTATAAAACAGATGCTATCAGTTCAATGGCAGACTATTCTCTGCTTTCTTACCTTGGCTTCTAAGAAACAGATTCAATAGTTTCATTATTGGAGTAATCAAAGTGATAGCAGTAAAAACCATGGAAGCCTCTTAGTAGATGTGGGTTTATTCTGCTGTCAGGTATAATTTGTCAGTAAGGGTTTGGACATTTCATTCTTTCATGCCCTGACTGGTATCAGTCAGAATTAAGAGAATCATTGGAGGAAAAGGGAACAACGAGGAAAAATTTGGAAAGTGGAAATGCCCTAAGGGAAAAAATTTTCCCCAAAGTTATTCTTGTATAGAATTCCTAAAACAAGGTTTTAGTTTTGCGGTCTTGAAAACAGAGTATTTCACCAGCAAGCAGCATTTCATTCAGAATAGCCTACCAACCTGTTTGTATAATTAAGCACTAATATTTCCTGAATTAAAATATCTAGGATGTCAATCAGCTCCACTAGCTATCATAAGCTTTGCCCAACATAAACAAATCACTACACAGAAAGAAACTGTGTAGATAGCACCATTTCACATCCACGAACAGGCAAAAATTTTAAGTGTTTGTGAAGATGCAGGTCAATGGGAACTTTCACACACTACTGATAGGAATAAGTTAGCATAATCACTCTGGATAGCAATTTAGCAATATCTAGTTAAACAGAAGATGAATATACTGTATAACCCAGTAAATCCATTCCTAGGAATTACTAGATAAATTAGTATATACTAGAGAAACTCCATATATTTGCATAAGAAGACATGTTCAAGAGTATTCACTGTAGCACTGTTTATGAAACAATGAAATATTGAAAACTGTATGTCCATTAACAGGAGAATCAACTTACAAACTGGTATATTCATAAAACAGAATACTATACAACAAGTAGATCAGAACTATATGTTATCAGTGTAAATAATTTCAAAAGCATGATATCAAGTGAAAAGAGTAAAGAAATTTTGCGTATACAGACTTGCATAACATGTAGAAGAGAATCATTTACATAAAATTTAAAATCATGTAAAACAAAACTATATGTTTTTTTATGGACAGATGTACATGCAATACAAGTACATAGACATATTTGTTATTTGAGAGGCTGAGGTGGGCAGACTGCTTAAGCTCAGGAGTTTGACATCAGCCTGGGCAACATGGAGAAACCCCGTCACTACAAACAATATAAAAATTAGCTGGGCTTGGTGCTGGTGCCTGTAGTCCCAGCTACTTGAGGCTGAGGTGGGAGGATTGCTTGAGCCCAGAAGGCAGAGGCTGCAGTGAGCTGTGATTGCATCACTGCACTCCAGCATGGGTGACAGAGGGAGATTCTGTCTCAAAAAACACAAAAGAATAAAACACATATGTTAATGAAAAACACTAAATTCAGGATAGTACTTGTCTCTGAAGAAGCGGAATGGATTGAGGAATGGTACACAAAAAAATGAAAGTACCAAGTTTGAAAAGCTTGGTAATTGTGCTTGAGTGTTTGTTGTTATTCTCTTTTTCATTTTTCTTGCATACAGCCACCCATTAATCTCTTTATTTTTCTGTTCGAAATTTTTTTTTTTTTTTTGAGATGGAGTCTCGCCCTGTCACCCAGGCTGGAGTGCAGTGGCGTGATCTCGGCTCACTGCAAGCTCCGTCTCCGGGTTCATGCTGTTCTCCTGCCTCAGCCTCCCAAGCAGCTGGGACTACAGGCGCCCGCCACCACGCCCGGCTAATTTTTTACATTTTTAGCAGAGATGGGGTTTCACTGTGTTAGCCAGGCTGGTCTCTATCTCCTGACCTCATGACCCGCCCGCCTTGGCCTCCCAAAGTGTTGGGATTACAGGCGTGAGCCACTGCACCCAGCCTCTGTTTGAAATATTTTATAACACAAAAATCAGAAAGAAAAAAACTATGAGAACATATATACATTACATTGTTAACATTCAAATGTTTAATGAAAGAATATTCTAACAATATGTTAGCTAAACACACTTCGCCAAAAAAGTGTGTTTAAGCAAGCTAAAAGGGGCCAGGTGTGATGGCTCACTCCTGTAATCCCAGCACTTTGGGAGCTGAGGCAGGAGGATTGCTTGAGGCAAGAGTTTGAGACCAGCCTTGGCAACACAGTGAGATCCTGTCTCCACAAAAAAGGAAAAAGAAAAAAATAGCCAGGTGTTGTGGCACGCACCTGTAGTCCTAGCTACTTGGGAGGCTGAGGCGGGAGGATCTCTTGAGCCCAGGAGTTCAAGGCTGCTGTGAACTATGATTGTGCCACTGCACTCCAGCCTGGGCGACAGAGCCAAGACTCTCTTAAAAAAAAAAAAAAAAGCAAAGAGAACCAGGGATTATGAAGATTTAATACGTTTCAAAAGTGCATGTAAGAGAGCAAGTGAAAAACAGGTTAGCTTCTGTTATATCCTAAGTAAAGGTCTCATGACTCAAGACAGTAAGGAGAGGAGCAGCCTCTATGAGCTCTCTTGCTTTCCCCACCATCATCTGCTACAATACAGTACAGCAGGTTATTTGGCACATCTTGCAGCCTGGCAGTGATTTCGTTCAAAGCTGCGAACATGGTAGAAGCCTGCTGACCTTCTGGGGGGACTCCTGGAACATCAGAGAAAGAAAAGTCTACATGGAGTAGAGCCGAAAGACCTGCTCTTATCTGTAGACCTTAAGTAATGTACTTTGGCCAGAGTAGAAAGGGGAGTTTTACTCATTCTATACCCTCTTCTGGCTCTCATATGACTTGCTGGGTAAGAAAGTAGAGAATTTGTTTTTTTGATCTTACAAATGACCCAAAAATCTGCTGGGTCACCTGAGTTAAGGCTGTGGATCTCGTGCAGGGATTGTGAGGAGGATGAGCAAGTGATCACCATGTTCACTTGGTATCTACTGGCACAAATGCCAAACTATCAATTCTACTGACTCATCTGCATCTGCAACTGGCAGGACATACCTGTATCCCGTGCAGAGCCTGCCAGAATGCTACACTGTAGAGTCACTCAGGATAGTGAAAACTGTGGCAATAATTTTATCACACAATTGTTTAATACTTTAGTTACTTATCCCTTTATGTTAGTTGTACAATGTTAGGCAAAAACAAGTCTAGGCCATTTAATAATTGTGATGAAACTTCTCCTTTAAAAAAATGAAGGCTGGACTAGTAATGACAATTATTATTTTCTTTTCTTTTTTTTTTTTTTTGAGATGGAGTCTAGCTCTGCTGCCCAGGCTGGAATGCAATGGCACAATCTCGGCTCACTGCCACCCCCACCTCCCAGGTTCAAGTGATTCTCCTGTCTCAGCCTCCTGAGTAGCTGGGATCACAGGCGCCCGCCACCACGCCCAGCTAATTTTTGTAATTTTAGTAGAGACAGGGTTTCACTGTGTTGGTCAGGCTGGTCTCGAACTCCTGACCTCATGATCCACCTGGCTCAGCCTCCCAAAGTGCTGGGATTACAAGCGTGAGCCACTGCGCCCGGCCGCAATTATTCAAGTATGAGTACCCTTTCTCTAACTTTTAATTATAAAAAATTTCAAATATACTGGAAAAAAAACCAGAAAAGATGTTATAATAAACAGCCATATACCTACCACCCATACTCAACAACTGTTAACCTTTTGCCATATTTGCTTCACTTTCACACATATGCAAACCTAAACCACTTAAAGTAAATTACATATGATCCTCCACACTGCTATGATCTGCATGTCTCCCCAAAATTCATATGTTGGAACCTAATACCCAATGTGATAGTGTTAAAAGGTGGGGCTTTTGGAAAGTGATTAAGTCATAAGGGCTTCACCCTCATGAATGTGACTGCTGCCTTATAAAAGAGGCTAGAGGGGGGCCGGGCGTGGTGGCTCACACCTGTAATCCCAGCACTTTGGGAGGCTGAGGTGGGCGAATCACCTGAGGTCAGGAGTTCAAGACCAGAGACCAGTCTGGTCTGGCCAACATGGCAAAACCCCATCTCTACGAAAAAAATACAAAGATTAGCTGGGCGTGGTGGCACACACCTGTAATCGCAGCTACTCAGGAGACTGAAACAGAGAATTGCTTGAACCCAGGAAGCGGAGGTTGTAGTGAGCCGAGATCACGCCGCTGCACTCCAGCCTGGGCAACACAGCAAGCCTCCATCTCAGAAAAAAAAAAAAAGAGGCTTGACGGAATTCTCTTGCCCCTTTCACCATGTGATGATGCAGCAAGAAGGTGACATCTATCTATGAGAAATAGGCCTTCACCAGACACCAAATCTGCTGGCACCTTGAACTTGGACTTCCCAGTTTCCAGAACTGTGAGAAATAAATTTCTGTTGTTTTTAAACTACCCAGTCTAGCGCATTTTGTTATAGTAGCCCTACAAACTAAGACACACACCCCAAAATACTTCAGCACATATCTCCAAAATTTAAAGCCATTCTCCTAAATAACTACAATGCCATTCTCACACCTACTAAATTTACCATAATTTCTTGATATCATCTAATATTCAATGATATTAAAAAGTTGACCACTTAAAATAGTTCCACTGTAACCAAGGATCTAAGTGCACAGGCTAGAAACCATTGGCCTATGAGTCACATGTCTTAGGGCAGAAATAATATATATAAACTCCAGAACTATACTTCTTTCTTAAAAGAAAGAGAGCTCAGCCAGGCGCAGTGTTTCACGCCTGTAATCCCAGCACTTTGGGAGGCTGACGTGGGCAGACCACCTGAGATCAGGAGTTCAAGACCAGCCTGGCCAACACGGCAAAACCCCATCTCTACTAAAAATACAAAAATTAGCCAAGCGTGGTGGTGGGCACCTGTAACCCCAGCTACTCAGGAAGCTGAGGCAGGGTAATCACTTGAACCTGGGAGGCAGAGGTTGCAGTGAGCCGAGATTGTGCCATTGTACTCCGGCCTGGGCAACAGAGTGAGACTCCGCCTAAACAAAAAAAAAAAAAAAAAGAGAAGAAGAAAAAAGAAAGAGAGCTTTCAATTTTCACTTTTGGCTTTTCAGTTCTAACACTGTATGTTTCAAAAGGCACTCTACTCAGGCGTCACGTTAATTAGGAAGCAGTATTCCTGGAATAGATCTTCATATATTACACAATTCTGTTGCAGTACCAGTTACTAATCCATAACCTACTTTACTTCCAAACAGGAATTTAAAATGACTTGTAAAATTTATTTGTTTTTAAAAAACTTTTAATAACAACTACTGTTTCAATAAAAACTACAATTAAAGAATAAAAGTTATAATAGGAGACAGGGAAGCAGACAATTGAACTAGAAACATAAACCAAGGCTAGCTACTGCAAGTGAACACTTTTGAGTTTTCTAGCAACCAAAGCAAAAATGGAGATAGCGTGGTTTCATTGTAATTTTTTTCATTGGCGATTAAAAAAAGTGTTTAAGAATAGAATTTATCTCCACTTAACTGGAGGAGAAATTTACACATGGACTTTTATATAAGAAGAACTAATAATTAAAATCTTTTTTTTGTTTTTGTTTGAGACAGGGTCTCACTCTGTCACCCAGCCTGGAGTGCAATGGTGAAATCTCAGCTCCCAGCAACCTCCGCCACCTGGGTAAGTGATCCTCCCACCTCAGCCTCCTGACTACCTGGGACTACAGGCACGCGCCACCACGCCCAGCTAATTTTTGTATTTTTTGTAGAGATGGGGTTTTGCCATGTTGCCCAGGCTGGTCTCAAACTCCTGGGCTCAAGAGACACACCTACCTTGGTCTCCCAAACTGCTGGGATTAAAGGCAGGAGCCACCATGCCCAGCCTAACTAAAATCTTTAAGAATTATCTTTTTTAAAGATTAAAAGATATCCTTCACAGATGATTCTTTTTTTGAGACAGAATCTCACTCTGTCTCCCAGGCTGGAGTGCAGTGGCACCATCTGGGCTCACTGCAGCCTCTGCCTCCCAGATTCAAGAAATTCTCATGCCTCAGCCTCCTGACTAGCTGGGATTACAGGCATGCACCAACACACCTGGCTAATTTTTGTATTTTCAGTAGAGACGGAATTCTACCATGTTGGCCAGGCTGTCTCAAACTCCTGACCTCAAGTGATCCACCCGCCTCGGCCTCCCAAAGTGCTGAGATTGCGTGAGCCACTGCGCCTGGCCCACAGATGATTCTTATAACCATCTACAACAATAACCAAGGGCTTATAAGATCATAGTTCAGTGAATGAGTTTCTACATGAGCTGAAGGAACACAGTTTAAGTCTGTAGCTTTCTGGTAACCTGACTTGATACTGGAAGAGAGATAGTCTAGTAAGGAACAGGTCCCTTAGCATATTATTACCAAATATTAAGTATCTAATCTCCATTTTTGTCACAAGTTGGTCAGCACAGAAGACTGAACTCACTGGCAAGCAGTCTGGCAATTAGCATATAATCTCCAAGTAAAACAGCCTAAAAATTTTTTTCCCCACTATTAGTTTCCTTTACACCAAACAGGTTCAATGTCCTGTTGCATAAGTTAATGGAAGAAAGAAATATTGCGAAAACCTGAGGAGTCTGATTTCAGATTCCCTGATCTTAAATACTACATAGGAAAAGGGTAAACTAGATTTAAGATTCTTACTTTTGGTTCCCTCTTTTGCTATTCCTCGTCATTTATTAAGCACACAAGCACTTACGTGCAAGGTTAGCATACAGCATTAGTTTTCTCTCAAATAATGTTTCTCAACTCAATTGTTCCTTCTGAATCCCAGTCCTGCCATTTCAGAGAAACAGAGCGGTGTAAGTGAGAACAGCTCAGGTCTTTGCAATCTCTGAAGACGTCCTAGTCTGCACGTGTTTCAGACTGCCTTGCATGGAGCCTGGGCCCAATATATACTAGTTACCTTTCCTGTTCCATACTTCCATCTCAGATGTATTCTCCTAGATACCAATCACTATGAATTTCTATGCAGAAATTGCAAGTCTGCTAGTCAGAATTAGAGTTCAAAGTTCTTTGCTTCCCCTGTGCCAGCTGATGACATCTCCACACCTCAGTTCTATCCAAGAGAAGCATGTCCACTGCTTGATAACTTAGTAGCACAAGTAAAGCTTAAACTTTGTACTCGTCATTAAAAAGGCAATGGCATAGGATAAATCAAGGAATAAAAATTGTTCTGCTCTTTTCTGTACTTCCTTTCTGGTATGACTCTTAATATATTCCCAAATAATGTTTCCTAACTCATGGGAGTTCTCAACTCAACCACGGGAAGGGTGAGAAGTATGCAAAAAGCTGAGATCAGAGCTATAAAGTACTCAAGAGATGCTTAGTTCCATGACATTGGGAAAGTAACCACAGGCCCTTTATCGGTGGGGTGAGAAGAGTATAAATATGAGAACCAATTCTAAGAAATGATTTTTTCATAGTTCAAAGCAAAGTCTACCTATCTCTACAAGCTGTAATTTATTTTGGCCTCTTGTACTTACCACTGTTCCCCATTGTGACTTCATTACCTCACTGGTCTTCTTTCTTTGACTCCTGAACAAAAATTTCAAAGATTCTAGCACACGTACAGATAAACTATTATTTGACTGGGCTTTACAACATCTAGTTCTGGTACTTATAAGTTAATCAGATAGCATATACCTTTAACCTTATTAACATATGGCACTCTTCCACTTCACATCTGAGATCACCAATCTCAGGACTCATTGCCCCTTTGGAATTATACCTTAAGCTTTCATATGTCTAATATGTCTAATAATTTTAGTCTCATTGCTAGTATCCTATTCCCTTTCCATACCCACCCACCAGGATCTATTATCTTTCAAGCAAAAATCATGGTGATATAAAGAAATCAGGAAGAACTGGATTAGAATCACTGCTGTGTTGACTATGACAGTATAACTTTCATAATTACTGAAAACTGGTTTCTTCATCATCAAAAGGAGGATACAGCATCCCTTACATAATTGTTTTGAATAAAGACACATGTACTATCAGCTGCTACTAGTAGTACTGCACTGAATAATTTCCAAATTTCAAATATAATAATCCCTTCTACCTGTATGGCTGTTTAAAAAGTTTCCAAAGTAATTTGACATTATCTCCATTTTATAAAAGAGAAGATTGAGGCTTGCAAAAGTCCTGCATATGTTAGAGCCTCAGTAAAGGCAAGCTACCATTCAGAAGGCCATGATTTATTCAAGGTCACACACCTAATATAGATTATAATTAGAACTAAGGACTTCTGACTCTTCACTAACAATCTTTCTACTACTTTGCCACTGAGTTAATTGTCTCTAATTCTGTGCTGCTATATTTATTTGAAGGAAATAAAATTATAAATTACATTTTTTATGCTCGATCTCTGCTTTAACTGCTTTCTGTTGGCTTTATCTTATAAATTTAGAGCAGCTCTCATATACTTAAACTTGTCTCCATTTCTCCACACACTTATTATAATCACTGAAGATTCCACAACTTATTAAACAGAAGAGGTTGAGATCATCAGTTATATCTTAACAGACTTCTACCACTACAACTTCATTCTCTAATTCCGTATTTTAACTCTTACTTATATACAACACAGGCAAACACCTCTCTGATTCAAATATCTTATCTTAATCTCATATAATTCACATAATTTATCTAGAAACCAGACTGGAATGCTATCATTTCTGCTATTTAAATTCCTCCTTTAAAGACAATGCTGAAGAATCATTTCCTCTGTCAAGATAACTCACAGGGAAAAGATGAATAGTCTTGATCTTTTGGATGAAAGACCTAAATCTAAAACTCTCGTAAGAAAACATGGATGTAAATCTTTGTGACCTTGAATAGTCAATGAGTCTGTTTGTGTTTTTTTCCTGGTCCTTGATTTAGGATAGGCAGTGGTTTCTCAGATATGACACCAAAAACATAAACAACAAAAGAAAAAAAATAGATATGATCAAAATTAAAAACTGTTATGCTTCAAAGGACACCATTAACAAAGTGAAAAGATAAAAACCACAGAGGAAAGAATCTTGCAAATCATACATCTGATAAGGAACTTGTACACAGAATATATAAAAAATTATAAGTCAAAATTGAAAAGACAATCCAATTACAAAATGGACAGAGGACCTGAACAGACAGTTCTTCCAAGATGATTACAAATGGCCAATAAGCACATAAAAAGATGCTCAGCTCATCATTAACCACCAAGGAAGTGTAAATAAAAATGTGATACTACTTCATACCCACTAGGATGGCTATAAAGACAGATAATAATAACAATTGGTAAGAATGTGCAGAAATTGAAACCCTCATATATTGCTAGTGGTAAAAGGTATGGCATGTTTGGAAAATAGTCTGGCAATTCCCTAAATGATTAATCTACTCCTACATGTATACACCCAGGAGAAATGAATAAATGTTTCCACAGATATTCACAGCAGCGTTATTCATACTGTCCAAAAAGTAGAAACAACATAAATGTCCATCAACTGATAAATGGATAAAATGTGACATATCCACATAATAGAATATGATTTTGCAGTAAGAAATGCATTATGACATGGATAAACCTTCAAAACAATGTGCTAAATAAAAGTAGCCAGATCTGAAGGACCATGTATTACATGTTTCTGGAAAGAAGCCAGCCCCAAAGGACGACATATTGTATGATTCCCTTTATAGAAGATGTCCAGAATAGGCAAATCTATAGGGATAGAAAATAGATTAGTAATTGCCTAGTGCCGGGGGAGAATGGGGAGATTGGGCAGTGATGCCTAAGAGGTATGGGGCTTCCTTTTGAGATAATAAAAATGTTCTAAAATTGTAGTAATGGTTGCACTCTGTGAATCTACTAAAAGCCATGGACTGTATACTTTCAATGGGTGAGGTGTATGGTATAAGAATTATATTTCAAAAAGCTCTTTCTAAAAAGTCACTCCTCCATGAAATATTTCCACAGACGAGTCTCACTTGTCAGTTTCCTCATCTTTGAAGCTTCTTAAGAAAAAATTCTTGGTTGAACCAAGTCTCTGAGGATGATTTGCTTGTAGTTTGTACATCTGAACTTAATGATCAACTAAGAATTCTAGAGGGATTGGGATAAGGAAGGAATTAAACATTCCATAAAAGACTACTTTTGTAGAAAAGTGTCATCTGTACTCCATGGTATCGCCTATGGTAAATCTGTGGAATTAAGCAGCTACCCCTCTATATGTTTATGTGAAGTATTCAGAGCAAAAAATTAAATCACAAAGTGACAAGATAGGGTTGTAGTAACATTATACAAATGGCACCATGGAATATGCATGACTGATACCAGAATTAGAAATACTGATAAAATTGTTATATTACAATGAACCATGGATTCTTTTGGATTAAAAAAAGTCTCTTCATTCTAAACAATTTATGACTTATTTTACTAAAAAGGCTACGATAGCTGGCAAATAAGCTAACCTATCTGCAAAATGCCCATTCCTGCTAAAGAAAAAATTCTTGACCCAGAACTTCAAAAATAAAGTTAACTGAAGTCACAACGTGCTTGATATTTATTAACTCATTTTCCAATCAAGTTTTTAAAAATAACTTCACTGTTTTTTAAAAAAATCAGATTTCTTTTCATTCTGGTAGGTGTCATTTGCCAAGTGCACTTGTTTAAAAAAAAAAAAAAGAGTACAGTCATAATAGTATCTAATGAAGCTGTCCACAGTGAAAAGCCTCTTTAATTTCAGTGACACCTAAGAGTATGATTTTAAAATACTTTCTTTGAAATTATGTAAGTTTCTGGATTAATTCTGACTGATATTGTGTTCCATGTACCAAGTTAGATGCAAAATAGATGCTTACATAGCTGATAAGATATCTGAACCTTACAATTTCACCTTTTAACTTTAATACTGGCACCAAGTTAGAGGTCAAGGAGCTCTGGTAGCAATTTCAAGGGAGGACACAGGAGGATGTCAAAAAGATTGGTTGTCGTAGTTTTTAGAAACCTCAATACAACCCATTTAACTTCACCACTTTCTTTTTCCTTTTCTAGTTTTATTTTTAATATAAACAGACAGGGTCTCACTATGTTGCCCAGGCTGGTCTTGAACTCCTGGGCTCAAGCAATCCTCCTAACTCAGCGTCCGAAAGCACTGGGATTACAGGCGTGAGGCACCGCACCCAGCCTCTTTATTATTTTTTAAGAGATGAGGTCTTGCTATGTTGCCCAGGCTGGTCTCAAACTCCTAGGCTCAAGTGATCCTCCCACCTCAGCCTCTCAAGCAGCTGGAACTACAAGCACACACACCTGTGCCCAGCATAACGTCACCACTTTCTAAAGAAAATAGCATGCATACACACACATATATCACCTTCCTTATCATCACCAAGGTTTCCAATCATACATATTTAATATATAATGTTAGTATGGTATGATATACAAAGAGTTTCACATATATTTGATATAATCCTCAGAACAGCTCCAGGAGGCAGTTATAATTACTACCACCCTTCACTCAAAGATGAAACTGAGAGGATGAGAAACTTACTCAAGGTAACAAAGCTGAGAGGTAATAAAGAAGGATTTCAAATCCACGGTTTTCAGCTTACAAAGCCTATCTGTGCCTTGAACTATTATGATGCTTTTTGTTAATCATTTAGAGTACATCAAGAATCTTCCTCACTGCTCCACAGAAGGAAAAATTCACAGTTCAGAAAGTTTAAGAGATTTCTCCATTATCACACAATAATAGAGCAATTTCAAGGGGAGATGTAGACATATTGAGTAATAATGGAGAGAATAAAAATTTCTTGTAAGACATGCACTGCACTGTCATGTGCTAAATGAAATTAAACTAGATTTCAAGGTATCAGCTACCATTTCTGGAGGCACTGCTATCTACTAGGAAGATTTTTATTCAAAAGTACAAAAACAAAGAGAAAAAAACTTCGTTACAATTTTAAACATGCACTCACACTTCTTGAAATTCACTCTTCTCTTGGGCTTGTATGATGAGATTATAAAACATTTTGTTGTCATATCCTACACCAACTGTACACCTTCTCTTGTGAGCACAGAGAATAACACCAACAGCTTCTCAGCCACAGTGCTAAACTGAGCGCTTCACTCCGCAGCTCAGCCTGTGCCAAGAGTAGTTTTGCATTTCTCTAAGCCTACTTGTTTCCACAAGAATCCTCCTCTTCAGAGCAAATGCCCTGATGGGAAATGCTGTATGTTTATAGTTGTGATTGCAGCCACTAGGGCTTGTTGCCAGACATTCTGGATCCTAAGGATCTTAGCCACTCTTTCTCCATTTTAGCTGCACAAAGCATGTCCTTCCCAAAGGAGAGAGAGAGAGAAGCCTTTAAATAGACACAGCTGAATCTTTTCTCATTTTAAAAAAGTAAGATGGGACCAGGCATGGTGGCTCACACCTGTAAATCCCAGCACTTTGGGAGGCCGAGGCGGGTGGATCACCTGAAGTCAGGAGTTCGAGACCAGCCTGGCCAACATGGTAAAACCCCGTCTCTACTAAAAATATAAAAAAATTAGCTGAGTGTGGTGGCACCTGCATATAATCCCAGCTACTCGGGAGCCGAGATTGTGCCACTGCACTCCAGCCTGGGCAACACAGTGAGACTCTCCCTAAAAAAAAAAAAGGAAAGAAAAAAAGCCAGATGGGGTCTTTCTTTGTTGCCCACGCTGGTCTCAAACACCTGGCCTTAAGTGATCCTCCCGCCTCAGCCTCCCAAAGTGCTGGGATTACAGACATGAGCCACTGCACCCAGCCCTGAACCTCTTTCCTTTTTCTCTTTTTAAATCCTTGCAAGGAGGGGGGTAAAAAAAACAACTAAGTACCCTTAGAGAGAAATTAATAAATATGCATATAGCTTTAAAAACTGGTTTAATTTTTTTTTTCCTGAGATGGAGTCCTGCTCTTGTTGCCCAGGCTGGAGTGCAGTGGCGTGATCTCAGCTCACTGCAACCTCCACCCCCCAGCTTCAAGTGATTCTCCTGCCTCAGCCTCCTGAGTAGTTGGGACTACAGGCGTGCGCCACCACGCCCAATTCATTTTTGTATTTTTTTTTTTTTTAAGTACAGACGGGGTTTCACCATGTTGGCCAGGATGGTCTTGATCTCTTGACCTCGTGATCCGCCCGCCTCGGCCTCCCAAAGTGCTAGGATTACAGGTTTAGTTTTTTTTAACTATGCAGACTGATGACTACTGTGTAATATAAAGTATTACAAACCATGGTTCTAAATTTGATCCTGCAAGTAAACTTGGTGATAATGAGCCAAGTCACATTTATACTCTGCCTCACTTGTGCATTTGAATAATAGGTGTTTTCCCCTAAAGGTATTGGGTGGCTTAAGGAAATACAATAAACATTGCTAGCATTCTTAAAAGAGCAAATGGAGCAATATAAGGAATATCTGAAATAAATGCATTCTCAATAGTTTAAAATTCCCTATACCTAATTCCCCTATATTCTTTACAAGGTTGGGGTAAGAGTCTGTTGTGTTCAGTATTACATCACCAGCACCCTGTGCAATGCCCTGAACACAGCAGGCACTCCACTGGAGATAAGAGTGTGGAGGAGCAGAAAGAACACCTACTACCTTACTTGGCCTCTTGCTAGTTTTTTAACATTGGGCAACCTTTTTAATCCCAATCTCAGTTTCCTCATCAGCACAACAGGATAATAATTACTTTGTATCATTGTTGGGAGAATAAATCATTGCTGTGAAAATGAATCAATGTATAATAGTACTTTTTCTTCTAGGCATTAAAAGGTATTCAATAAAATGTTAATTCCTCATATATATGAAGACTGATTTAAAACCTACATTTAATTAGGCCACACATGCTCTATTAACGTAAGCTGCAGGAGGATTTCTAAAAATAAACTCAGAGTCCCCTCAGTTACATATATATAAAAAAAAGTTCAACATTTTTTGCATCACAAACCCCTCTGAGAATTTAATGAAAACTATGCATTCTTTCTCCCGAAAAAAAATTCACACACATGCAAATTTACATATAATCCGAGGAAATCCATGGACCATATGGTTCTTTTCAAAGCTCAGCAAAGTCTGGCAACACTTCAGGAGTATATACATAATATTTGGCTCCATTTATAAACTTATATACCTTCATTTTAAGCTATATTGTTTCAAAATTATTTATAAATTACTTCGATAATTTAAAATATTTTAAAATTGAAACAACCACAATATTCCTATCTAATACCACAAGGTTTATTGTAGTTTTCTTCCTTTCCATATTTGGAACTCTCTTATTACTATGAGAAACCTGCTCTCATCACCCTCACTGTATTTATCAATCCCTCTCCTTCCATATGTAACCAATCTTCTATCTCTGCAGCTACCACCTCCCTGGTGTAGATGTCAACCTCATCCCACTTGGGCTCTGAAACTCCACACTAAGGAACTTCACTGCACCATGGATTCCCTTCTCACCCAACATGAATCCGACCCCTTATCATCACGCTGTACAGCTGCACAGACCCATTCCTTCCCCCTCACATCCCCTGGGCTCTGATGTGTCACCTGTCCGTACTCACTCCTTCCCACCCATGTCCTGCAGTAGCAGAAACACACTTTTCTCCTATAGTAATAACTAAGAAAGAACCCTGTAAACTGAATACAATCCAGGAAACTCCTTGGAAATATCTATGAAGAGAACTTGAAGAAAAAAGAACTTTAAACCATTTTCACACAGGATAAGACTTAGAAATATATTATTTTGAATAACTAGGAAAACATGGACTTAATCAGCACTCTTAGCTGAGCAAGTAGGTCATGTTACATACACCTAAAGAAATTTTACCCATATTATCTATAGAGACTCAGTATTCTGTGGCAAACCCAAAGCCAGGTTCAACACTTCCTGTGTCTCAAAACTGTATTGAAATAAACAGCCATGTCATCATGCCACTTCCCTGGTATCTTGCCATTCAGTTCTTGCCTGCTACATATGGGTAAATGGATGAGATTTGGGTTTTTGTTGTTGTTGTTGTTTTGAGAGGGAGTCTCGCTCTGTAGCCAAGGCTGGAGTGGCATAATCTCGGCTCACTGCAACCTCTGCCTCCCAGGCTCAAGCGATTCTCCTGGCTCAGCCTCCCAAGTAGCGGGGATTACAGGCGCCTGCCATCATGCCCGGCTAATTTTTGTATTTTTAGGAGAGACAGGGTTTTACCATGTTGGCCAGGCTGGTCTCGAACTCCTGACCTCAGGCAATCCACCTGCCTCAGCCTCCCAAAGTGCTGGGATTACAGGTGTGAGCCACTGCGCTTGGCCTTGTTGTTTTTTAAAGTGCCAACCAGGAAGCTAATTAACTTTTAGGTACAACTTCATAAAATGTTTCATAAATCATTATAGTAGCTACTACATACCCAAGATCTGTACTAGGTGCTACTTAATTTCAATTTCGGGCCAGCTGGGGTAGCTCACGTCTGTAATCCCAGCACTTTGGGAGGCTGAGGCGGACAGATCTCTTAAGCCCGGGAGTTGAAGACCAGCCTGGCCAACGTGGCAAAACACTGTCTCTACTAAAACTACAAAAATTAGCTGGGCCTGGTGACTTATACCTGTAATCCCAGCTACTCAGGAGGCTAAGTGCTTGAACCCGGGAGAAGGAGGCACAAGAATCCTTTGAAGCTGGGATGTGGAGGTTACAGTGAGATGAGATTGCACCACTGCACACCAGCCTGAGTGACAGAGTGAGACTCCGCTAAAAAAAAATAATTAAAAATTGAATTTCCACAACAACCCAATGAGTTGTCAATAAGGAAACAAATACTTGACAAAAGTTACCGCCCCCTCAACCACCCCCCACCAAAAAAAATAATAATAATAATTACCCTACTTGTTTAAAATATATTAGTAAGGAATCTGGGTAAAAATCAAGCAAATATCCCCAATCTGACAACACTGTACACGAGTAAAAGACCTATGGAATGAGATTCTCAGATACCAATTACGAATCATTTAAACTCTGATATCATATAAAAAACTCCCACAGAACCAGTCCACTACTTATAGCTAGTGATATTAATGAGAATAAATGACTGTAGTCATGTATACATATTAAACTTATAAAATCCTTCTTGCCAAATGTTAACAGAGGAAACAAAATGGAAAGAAAAGATATGGGGTTCTGAGCAGCTTAAGATAGGTATGAGATGCTTAATCTTGCTTTGATCTCTTAAAAGAAAAAAAAATCCAGCTATCTTCATTTGTTTCAGAGAAGTAAAAACAAAGATGTTTTTACAAATTAGTAAACTAATTTGTTTTTGATTTCAGGTCAAAAAGGAATTTTGGTTAATTCTGAATTTGATTTGCCAAGACTAAGTTATAACTATCATTATAAAAGTTTGATATCTAGATTCTAGATAAAACAGGATAATAGGAAAAGGGAATATTTAATATGCAGCATGAACCATGTTTCTCTTTATACATAAAATACTTTATTGTGAGGCAAATCAATGTTCCAGAAACACACAAATACAGAAATCTAAATATGGGGACAGACTGAATCCTGTTGAGACCTGTCTCAGCTTTCCAATATTTGAATCTATGATTCAAATTGAATCTATGACTCAAATATCCTGAGTACCTACTGGGCTCCTGTTTTGAATCTTGCAGTAGACCTCTAAATGGTTAAGTTCTTCTCTGTCAATTTACACCTTCAGCAGAACACATGTACTGCATTATAATGAAATTATATGCATATGATGCATTATTATGCATTTTTAAGAAAATACACTTTGTTCCAAATTATAGTTTCATTCACAGTAATAGTGTTTCTTGGATAAGTCATCATTAACATAAAGGAGTTGTTTCTCTTAGGTAAAAGAATGTTTCAAAATCTTGTCTCAAAATCTTTATTTTATTATTATTTATTTATTTACTTATTTTGAGACAAAGTTTTGCTCTTGTTGCCCAGGCTGGAGTGCAGTGGCGTGATCTTGGTTCACTGCAACCTCTGCCTCCTGGGTTCAAGCAATTCTCCTGCCTCAGCCTCCTGAGTAGCTGGGATTACAGGCATCTGCCACCACGCCTGGCTAATTTTTTCTATTTTTAGTAGAGATGGGGTTTCACCATGTTGGCCAGGCTGGTCTTGAACTCCTGACCTCAGGCAATCCACCTGCCTCACCCTCCCAAAGTGCTGGGATTACGGGCATGAGCCACCGTGCTCAGCCTTCAAAATCTTTAAATATATTCATATCCTTTGAATCAGAGTCCACTTTTCAGAGGCTATCCTACGGAAATAGATCTAAATTTTTTTTTTTTTTTTTTTTTTTGAGACAGAGTCTTGTCTGTCACCCAGGTTGGAGTGCAGTGGTGCAATCTCGGCTCACTGCAAACTCCACCTCCCGGGTTCACGCCATTCTCCTGCCTCAGCCTCCCGAGTAGCTGGGACTACAGGGGCCTGCCACCATGCCCGGCTAATTTTTTTGTATTTTTAGTAGAGATGGGGTTTCACTATGTTAGCCAGGCTGGTCTCGATCTCCTGACCTTGTGATCCACCCGCCACAGCCTCCCAAAGTGCTGGGATTACAGGTGTGAGCCACTGCGCCCAGCCAGATCTAAATATTTTTAAATTTTACATAAGAATTAAGAAAAAAGGTCTGGCACAGTGGCTCACACCTGTAATCCCAGCACTTTGGGAGGCCGAGGCAGGCAGATCGCTTGAGCCCAAGAGTTCGAGACCAGTGTGGGCAACATGGTAAAACTCCATCTTTACAAAAAAATACAAAAATTAGCCAGATGTGGTGGCACACGCCTGTAGTCTCAGCTACTCAGGAAGCTGAGGTGAGAGGATCACTCGGACCCAGGAGGTGCAGGTTGCAGTGAGCTGAGATCCTGCCACTGCACTCCAGCCTGAGTGACAGAGGGAGACCTGTCTCAAAAAACAAAACAAAACAAAAATTCGGGAAAAAAAAGACAAAACTCCAGGCTGGGTACAGTGACTCACATCTATAATCCCAGCACTTTGAGTGGCTGAGGCAGGAGGACCACCTGAGGCCAGGAATTCAGGACAAGCCTGGGCAACATAGTAAGACCTCATCTCTAAAAAAAATTTAAAAATTAGCTGGGCATGGTGGCAAGTGCCTCTAGTCCCAGCTACTTGGGAGGCTGAGATGGGAGGATCCCTTGAGCCCAGGAGTTTGAGGCTGCAGTGAGCCATGATTGCACCACTGCACTCCAGCCTTTCTGACAGAGCAAGACCCTGTCTCTTCAAACCAACCAACCAACCCTAAACACAATAGTATCTTTTTTTCCCCTCCGAGACAGAGTCTTGCTCTGTCACCCAGGCTGGAGTGCAGTGGTGCAATCTTGGCTCCTGCAACCTCCGGCCCTGTGTTCAAGTGATTGTCCTGCCTCAGCCTCCTGAGTAGCTGGGATTACAGGTGCATGCCACTACGCCCAGCTAATTTTTGTATTTTTAGGAGACACAGGGTTTCACCATGTTGGCCAGGCTGGTCTCAAACTCCTGACCTCATAATCCGCTCACCTCAGCCTCCCAAAGTGCTGGGATTATGGGTGTGAGCCACCATGCCCAGCACACTATAATATCTTTTCTATCTTCAACATTCATACTGAATTATCTGTAGGACTTCAAGCTGCCTATCTTCTATTTACTGTTAGGATGGTGAGGCCTTAGAACCCCTTGTTCCTGGAACCTAATTGCTTTAAATGTATGGGATGGGTTAGAAGATATTTATTTAATTTATGCATAATCTAAAAGTTTGCACTAACTTAGATAGAAGTGAATGCTTATACTATGAAAGGACCACCTTAATCCTGACCTCCCAACACAGCAATCCTCTATTACCCAGCTGTCAGCATAAACTTACAACAGTTCTCTAGGTAGCATTCTGGAAGGAGAAATGGCATCAGCAGAATGTTTTCCCTCACTCTCTGAATGAGCGAGCTGTGACCTTATCTCTTCCCTTTATGGATCTGGGTTAAACCTATCACTCATGATATTAACATCCATATATTCACTAGAACGGAATTTTTGATGATTGATTACATGTATCCCTGCAGGGGATTTTAAAAAAACCAAAATCTAAATAGTCATCATCAGAATCAAAACCAGAACTATACTCACCCTGGGAGGTCATTCTTTAAAGCTTCTATTCTGGATTAAATATATCCCAATTCCCCAGCCACTTGAAAATGACTAATGAATGATCAAAAGGTATATTAAATAATCTAATTTAGCCAGGTGTGGTGGTGGGCACCTGTAATCCCAGCTACTAGGGAGGCTGAGGCAGAAGAATCGCTTGAACCTGGGAGGCAGAGGTTGCAGTGAGCCAAGATCACGCCACTGCACTCTAGCCTTGGTGACAGAGCAAGACTGTCACACACACACACACACACACAAAAACTAATACATTAAAACAGTAAGTACCAAATGTCTAAATGATAAAAAAAATCAATTTCAAAGAATAAGGCACCTGTATTAGCCCGTTCTCACACTGCTATAAAGACACACCTGAGACTCAGTAATTTACGAAGAAAAGAGGTTTAAATTGACTCACAGTTCTGCAGGCTGTACAGGAAGCATGGCTGGGGAGGCCTTAGAAAACTTACAATCATGGCAGAACACAAAAGGGGAAGCAGGCACATCTTCACATGGCCAGCGGGAGAGAGACAGAAAGAGAGAAGGGGGAGGTGCCACACACTTTGAAACAACTGGATCTCATGAGAACTCTATTATGAAAACAGCAAAGGGAAAGTCTGCCCCCTTGATTCAGTCACCTCCTACTAGGCCCTTCCTCCAACTCTGGGAATGTGACATGAGATTTAGGTGGGGACACAGAGCCAAACCACATCAGGATCTAAAACACACATATAAAATAAGTAGCCAAATATATGTCTGAATAGAGAATCATCTCACATTTTTTGTCCAATGTTTACCTAAAAATGTACAATTTTCCAAATGACTCAGATTTTTATCTGAAGTCCTAACTTTATATATATCCAATCTTCCAGAGTATGAAATGTGGAAAAAGAGTGAATTTTAGGAAGGCAGTAATAAAGAAATCAAGCTTTCCAAAGCAGATGTTTTTCACACTCGACATCGTAATATTCAGCAAGTTAATTATGTATTGTTTTTCCTTTTAAAAAGCAATACATAAATGCAAAAAGTCATTAGCAAATCAAATTTAGCAATATATAAAACGGATAATTAATACATCACAACCAAGTGGGATTCATCCTAGGAATGCTAGACTAGTTACACATGTGAAAATCAGTGTATTTTACCATATCAAAAGTCTAAATAAATTTTTTAAAAACCAGATGTTATATCAATAGATGCAGAGAAAGTTTTTACTAAAATGAAACATTCATTCATGATAAAGACTCTCAAAGTAAGAATAGAAGGAAACTTCCTTAAACTAACGAAGGGTATCTATGAAAAACCTATAGCTGACATCACATTTAATGGTGAGAGAATGAATGCTTTCCCTTGAGATCTGGAACAAAGTAAGGATATATTTTCTCACAAGCCCTATTTAACAACACGAAGTACTAACTGGTGCAATAAGGCAGGAAAAATAAATAGAAAGCATACAGATGACAAAGAAAGAAATAAAACTCTATTCATAAGTAATATAACTGTCTAGAAAATGCTAAGAATCTACAAAAAAAAAAAAATCCCCCAAACAAAAGACCCACTAACAAAAAAACTCAACCTTCTTGAACTAAAAAATAAGTTGCTTCAGTAAGGTCACAGGACACAAGGTCAATATACAAAAGTCAATGGTATTCCTATGTACCAGCAATGAGCAACTGAAATCCCAAATTAAAAAGCAATACCATTTATCACAGCCCCCTCCCATTAAAGGAGCACTTAGCTATAAACGTGACAAAATATATGCAGGATCTGTATGTGAAAAACTACAAAACACTGATAAAAGAAACCAAAGAAGAGTCAAATAAATGGAAAGGGACACCATGTCATTTACTGGAAGACTCAATATTGCTAAGACTCAATTCTCCCCAGTTTGATCAACATAATCCCAATCAAAATGCTAGCCAGGTCTTTTTATACATATATAAAGTTATTCTAAAATTTACATGAAAAGACAAGGAATTAGAATAGACAAACCATTCTGGAAAAGAAGAACAAAATTAGGGGAGTCATATGACCTGATTTTAAGACTTACTACAACAATCAATACAGGGTAATACCGGAGGAAGGATACGGTCCACAGATCAATGGAATACAATAGAGAGTCTTAAAAAAGACCTTCACAAATATAGCCAACTGCATTTTTACAAAGGTGCAAAGGTAATTCAATGGAGAAAAGATAGTCTTTTAAGCAAATGGTGATGGAAAATTTGTATGTCAATATGTATCCCTGCCAAAAAGGAATCTCAGCATATTTACATCTTATTACAACTTATACAAAATAATTAATTTAAAATAGCCCATAAGCCTAAACATTAAATGCAACATTATAAAAAATCTTTTAAAAAACAGAAAAAAGGCTGGGTGCAGTGGCTCACACCTGTAATCCCAGCACTTTGGGAGGCTGAGGTGGGTGGATCACCTGAGGTCAGGAGTTTGAGACCAGCCTGGCCAACATGGTGAAACCTCGTCTCTACTAAAAATACCAAAATTAGCCAGGTGTGGTGGCGGGCGCCTGCAATCCCAGCTACTCGGGAGGCTGAGGCAGGAGAATCACTTGAACCCGGGAGGCGGAGGTTGCAGTGAGCCGAGATCGCACCACTGCACTCCAGCTAGGGCGACAGAGTGAGACTCTGTCTAAAAAAAAGTCTACCTGACCTTGGGTTTGGCAATAAGGTTTTAGATATAGCACCAAAAACATATGATAAAGAAAAAAATGACAGAAAGATGTCAACAATAGACACTGGGGACTAGTAGAAGATAGAGGGGGGAGGGGAATAAGGGTTGAAAAAGTAATTATTGGGTACTATGCTCATTACCTGGGTGACAGTATCAATCATACCCCAAACCTCAGCATCATGCAATATACCCAAGTAATAAATTGTACATGTACCCTGAATCTAAAATAAAAGTTGAAATTATTTAAAAAAGAAAAAAATTGGTGAGTTAGATTTCATTAAAAGTGAAAACTATTGATTTGTAAGAGAAAGGAGAAAGTGCTAAGAGAATGAAAAGATAAGCCATAAATATTTGTGTGGGAGAAAATATTTGCAAATCAGAAATTCTGATAAAAGATCTAATCCAGAATATGTAAAGAACTCTAAAACCTCAATAATGAGAAAACAATATAATTTAAAATGGGCAAAAGATCTGAAGACACTTCGTCATAGTAGATATACAGATGGCGAACAAACACGTGAAAAGATATTCATCATCAAAACTAACAGGAAAGTGGAAATTAAAACCCCTAGATAGCATTACACACACATTAGAATACCCAAAATCCAGAAACAGACAACAAATCCTGGTAATGTGGAACAAGAAATCTCATTTGTTACTAGTGGGAATACAAAATGGCACATTCAGTTTATAAGAAACTGCCAAGGCTGGGGCGGTGGCTCACGCCCGTAATCTCAACACTTTGGGAGGCTGAGGTGAGTGGATCCCTTGAGGTCAAGAGTTTGAGACCACCTGGCATGGTGAAACCCTGTCTCTCCTAAAAATACAAAACTCAGCTGGGCGTGGTGGTGGGCACCTTTAATCCCTGCTACGCAGGAGGCTGATGCAGGAGAATTGCTTGAACATGGGAGGCAGAGGTTGCAGTGAGCCCAGATCATGCCACTGCACTCCAGCCTGGGCCACAGAGCAAGACTCCATCTCAAGAAAAAAAAAAAAAAAGAAAAAAAAAGAAAGAAAAAAGAAACTGACATACTGTCTTCCAAAGTTAAACATAGATTTATCATATGATCTAGCCATCAAGCTCCTATATATTTATCCAAGTGAACTGAAAAACCTGTATGTGAATGTTTATAGTAGCTTTCTTCATCATCACTAAATACTGGAAGCAATCAAGATATCCTTGAATGACAGAATAGGTAACTGAACTGTAATTACATTCATACAATGGAATACTACTTAGCAATAAAAAGGAAAATGCTATTGTTTCTATTGATTCAACAAGACAGATGAATCTTTATTTGTTTTGCTTTTTTTTTGAGACAGAATTTCGCTCTGTTGCCAGGCTGGAGTGCAGTGGTTGCAACCTTCGCCTCCCAGGTTCAAGAGATTCTCCTGCCTCAGCCTCCCGAGTAGCTGGGACTACAGGCGCCCACCACCAAGCCTGGCTGATTTTTGTATCTTTTAGTAGAGACGGGGTTTCACCATGTTGGCCAGATGGTCTCGATCTCTTGACATCGTGATCCACCCACCTCGGCCTCCCAAAGTGCTGGGATTACAGGCGTGAGCCACCGCACCCGGCCAGATGGATGAATCTTAATGCATTCTGTTAAGTGAAAAAAGCCAGACTCAAAGTGTTACATGTTGTATGATTCCATTCACATGACTTCTGGAAATGGCAAAACTATAGTGATGGAAAATGATTAGATTGCCAGCAGTTGGTAGTGAGGGGAGTTGTTGATTATAAAGTGGAAGCAAAGCGAAATTTTTAGGGTAAAGGAGTTGTTGTGTATGGTACTATAGGATACATGTGTCATAAATTTGTTTAATATAGTTGCTGCCTCAGCATTCATCCTTAGGCTTGACATAAGTTTCTGAAATGCCTCTCACCCTTGGCATAGTTAAAACTTCTCCTTGCTGTGTGGCTGTTTGCCATATGGCCTGCTTCTTCCTCATCTCATTGACCCAAAGCCCACAACATTCCAAACTGCAGATCATAATAAAACCTAACAGTCAACACCAGAGTCATACAAATAAGTTTCCCCTTTCACTCCTGTTTTCTTTAACTTAGCCAATCTACAATCTACAACCCCCAAGGGAAAGATAATGCCCATGAACCTTAATAAAGGCACAGTCCCACAGGTCCTTCCTCCCTTTTTCTTTCCTTCTCTCTTACTCCCCTATCCTCTGGTTGAGCTCCCTGCCACCTCCAGTCTTCCCACTGCCACCCCTCAGCAACCTTTCTGCACTCTGCAAATTACAAATTTCTTCTCTCTCATGCATTTTGGTTTAACTTTCTTACTGTGTCTCACCTGACACACCTGAATATAACCCTTCCCTGCCAACCAGGGCTCTCCTAAAGAGTGGCTATCCTGGCTTATGACCCCTCTCAACAGAAAGACAAAGACCAAAATAAAAAGGAATCGGCTGGGCATGGTTGCTCATGCCTGTAATCCCAGCACTTTGGGAGGCCAAGGTGGGGGGATCATTTGAGGTCTGGAGTTTGAGACCAGCCTGGCCAACATGTTGAAACCCCGTCTCTACTAAAAACAAACAAACAAAAAAATTAGCCAGGTGTGGTGGTGCACCCCTGTAGTCCCAGCTACTTGGGAGGCTGAGGCACGAGAATCGCTTGAACCCAGGAGGTTGAAGGTTGCAGTAAACCCAGATTGTGCCACTGCAGTCCAGCCTGGGTGACAGAGAGAAATTCCATCTTAAAAATAAATAAATTAAAAAAAAAAGAAATCATAACACTCAAAATCACAACATGACTCCATGCATTTGTCCAAACCCACAACTGGACATCACAAAGAGTAAACTTTGATGTATGTGAACTTAGAAAATGGAAAAAAAAATCAACCATGCAATGGGGATCTCTGAATGAGATAAAGATTGTGAAAAATGAATCTACCTTTAATACAAATACCTGATATAACATTGGAAAATAGTGTTTTGGCTGGAAACTGTAAGACTGAAAACAAAAGGAACTATACATAAACACTGTATGCTAGTTGGTAAATTTGTTTCTCCCAGATCCACAGTCCTGAAACTGCTTTACATGTATACTGTGGATAAACAATAAGTAAATGGATGATGGGTGGTGGATCAGATGTCTTACTGTTGGTGAGGGAATTTACAGATAAGCAAAAAGAAAAGGCAAGAATGAACTTTGTGGTACTAGATTACAGTTGGAGACATCTAACAGATATCTAATGGAATTCATGTTTAGGTTAATAATTGTACAGGTGGATACATAATTACAGATGTGCGCATATGTGAGTTGGTATACCTACATACATACATTTTCTAGTTCTGTAAGCTAAAAGAAGCAATGACACTCCCGTAGCAATCTTGGTTGCTAAATCCAGAACCCAAATCTTGGTTGCTAAATCCAATAAAAGGAACCAAGACTCCTTTGAGAAATAGCTGATTGTAGGGCTGGGGCAGGGAAAATACAAGATGAGTCTGGAGTATCTTTATGTTAGTATCATAAAGTTAGTTTCCAAATTATTTCCTTTTATGTCTTCCCAAATGAACAGATTTGTATGGGTTTTTGTATAAGTGCTTTTTGAATTGTGGTTAGAATTTACCATCCTAACCGTTTCTAAGTATATAGTTCAGTAGTGTCAAATATATTCACATTGTGCAAACAGAGTTCTGGAATTTTCTCATCTTACAAAACTGAAACTCTATACCCAATAAACAATTCCCCATTTCCCTCTCTTCCCAGCCCCTGGCAACCACCATTCTACTTTATTTTTCTATGAATTTGACTGCTTATACAAGTGAAATCATATGGTATCTTTTTGTGACTATTTCATTTAGCATGTCTTCAAGGTCCATCTATATTGCAGTATGTATGTAGCATGTGTCAAAACTTCCTTCCTTTTTAAGGCTGAGTAATAGTCCATTGTATGTACGGACCACATTTTGTTTATCCATTTGTCTACCAGCAGATATCTGGATGGCTTCCACCTGTCAGCTATTGTGATTAGTGCTAGTGTGAACATGGAAGGTTTGTGGGTTTTAAGTGGTTAGATAAACCACCAGATATCTCAAAGCAAGCCCTACTATTCTTCCATAACTGCCTCCAAACTCCAAGTGACCTTACATATCAACCACTACTTTAATTCTTACACTTGTGTAATTCATGACTTTTTTTTTTTTTTTTTGAGACAGAGCCTTGCTCTGTTGCCCAGGCTGGAGTGCAGTGGCACAATCTCGGCTCACTGCAACCTGGGCCTCCTGGTTTCAAGCGATTCTCCTGCCTCATCCTCCCAAGCAGCTGGGACTACAGGCATGTGTCACAACGTCCAGCTAATTTTTGTGTTTTTAGTAGAGATGGGGTTTCACCATGTTAGCCAGGCTGGTCTCGAACTCCTTACCTCAGATGATCCACCTACCTGAGCCTCCCCAAGTACTAGGATTATAGGCATGAGCCACCATGCCAGGCCTATGACCATTTTTGAGAGTTTTTTTTTTTTTTAAGAGACATGTTGCCCAGGCTGGTCTCAAACTCCTGGCCTCAAGTGATCCTCCTGCCTCAGCCTCCCAAAGCCCCCCGTCTACAGGCATGAGCCACTGCAGCCAGCCAAACTTTTTTTTTTTTTTTTTTTTTTTTTTTTTGAGACGGAGTGTCGTTCTGTCACCCAGGCTGGAGTGCAGTGGCGCCATCTCGGCTCACTGCAAGCTCCGCCTCCCGGGTTCACGCCATTCTCCTGCCTCAGCCTCCTGAGTAGCTGGGACTATAGGCGCCCGCCACCACGCCCGGCTAATTTTTTGTATTTTTAGTAGAGACGGGGTTTCACCATGTTAGCCAGGATGGTCTCGATCTCCTGACCTCGTGATCCACCCGCCTCGGCCTCCCAAAGTGCTAGGATTACAGGAGTGAGCCACCGCACCCGGCCCAAAAAAATTTTTTTTAATTAATAGATTTTATTTTTTAGAATAGTTTAAGGTTTACAGAAAAACTGGAGAGATAATGCAGAGTTCCCTTATAACCCCTCTTCCCTGCACTGTTTCCTAATATCATTAACATCTTCCAATGGTGTGGTACATTTGTTACAAGAGATAAATCAAAACTGACATATTAATTCTTTGTTTTTTCTTTTTTTGAGACAGGGTCTTGTTCTGTCGCCCAGGCTTCAGTGCAGTGGCATAATCACAGCTTACCGCAGCCTCGAGCTTCTGGGCTCAAGCCATCCTCTCACTTCCTCAGCTCAAGCAATCCTCCCACCTCAGCCTCCTGAACAGCTGGGAACACAGCAGCGTGCTACCACGCCAGGCTAGTGTGTGTGTGTGTGTGTGTGTGTGTGTGTGTGTTTTTGAGACAGTCTCGCTCTGTGTGTGTGTGTGTGTGTGTGTGTGTGTGTGTGTGTGTGTTTTTGAGACAGTCTCGCTCTGTTGCCCAGGCTGGAGTAGTGGCGCGATCTCCGCTCACTACAAGCTCCGCCTCCCGGGTTCACGCCATTCTCCTGCCTCAGCCTCCTAAGTAGCTGGGACTACAGGCGCCCGCCACCATGCCCGGCTAATTTTTTGTATTTTTAGTAGAGACGGGGTTTCACCGTGTTAGCCAGGATGGTCTCGATCTCCTGACCTTGTGATCTGCCCGCCTCGGGCTTCCAAAGTGCTGGGATTACAGGTGTGAGCCACCGCACCCGGCTAATTTTTGTATTTTTTGTAGAGAAGGGGTTTCGCCATGTTGCCCAGGCTGGTCTTGAACTCCTGGGCTCAAGCAGTCTACCCACCTCAGCCTCCCAAAGTGCTAGAATTACAGGTGTGAGCCACTGCACCCAGCCCACGTTACTATTTACTAAATTCATACTTTAGAGTTCATTCTTTGTGTTGTACAGTTCTACGGGTTTTGATGCATGCACACGCATCCATGTATCAGACAGAATACTTCCACTGCCCTAAAAATCCCCTGTGCTGGCCGGGCGCGGTGGCTCACGCCTGTAATCCCAGCACTTTGGGAGGTCGAGGCGGGCGGATCACGAGGTCGGGGGATCGAGACCATCCTGGCTAACACGGTGAAACCCCGTCTCTACTAAAAATACAAAAGAAAATTGGCCGGGCGTAGTGGCAGGCGCCTGTGGTCCCAGCTACTCGGGAGGGTGAGGCGGGAGAATGGCGTGAACCTGGGAGGCGGAGCTTGCAGTGAGCCGAGATGGCGCCACTGCACTCCAGCCTGGGCGACAGAGCGAGACTCCGTCTCAAAAAAAAAAAAAAAAAAAAAAAATCCCCTGTGCTTCACCTGTTGATCCCTCCTCCTCTTCCCTGCTAAGCCATGTCAACCCTGATTTTTTTCTCCCCTCACACAGGGTCTTGCCTTGTCGCCCAGGCTGGAGTGCACTGATGCAATCACAGCTCACTGCAGCCTCAACTTTCTGGGCTCGATTTAGTTTTAAAATTAGTATACTTTCCCAACAATTTCTGCAGATGTTATAATTTCTTGTCTTTTTGGGTCAGCCCTAATGTACCTTGAGGACTTCAGAGATAAAATCCCTGTGCTTCCTATTTCCCACTGAATTTCATTACTTTATTCTTAGATTAACAAGAGACTCCAAGAATAGAAATGGGAAAAGAGTACTAGCAGAGCTGGATGCAGTGGCTCACACCTGTAATCCCTGCACTTTGGGACGCTGAGGCAGGCGGATCATCTGAGGTCAGGAGTTTGAGAGCAGCCTCGCCAACGTGGTGAAACCCCATCTCTACTAAAAATACAAAAATTAGCTAGGCATGATGGTGTGTGTCTGTAATCCCAGCTACTTGGGCGGCTGAGGCAGGAGAATCTCTTGAACCTGGGAGGCAGAGGTTGCAGTAAGCCGAGATCGTGCCATTGCACTCCAGCCTGGGTGACAGAGCAAGACTCTGTCTCAAAAAAAAAAAAAAAAAAGTACTAGTAGAATGAGATTAGATTTCTAACTTTTTTTTTTTTTTTTGAGACAGAGTCTTGCTCTGTCACCCAGGCTAAAGTATAGTGGTGTGATCTTGGCTCACTGCAGCCTCTGTCACTTGGGGCTCAAGAGATCCTCCCACTTCAGTGTCCCGAGTAGCTGGGACTGCAGGTGTGCACCACTACACTCAGCTAGTTTGTTATAATTTTTTGTAGAGACAGGGTTTCATCATGTTGCCCAGGCTGGTCTTGAACTCCTGGGCTCAATCAATCTACCCGCCTCGGTTTCCCAAAGTGCTGGGGGTACAGGTGTGAGCTATTTTGCCTGGCCATATATAGACAAATGTTTTTATGTGACTACCCCAACCTCATCAACTAATACATTCAAGGATTTAATGATACTGCCTGATCACATGAACCCTGTACTTGACTAGTCAGCTAGTGCATTCTTTTGGTTATTTCCTCTTCTCACTTTTTCTCTGACAAAAAAATATCTAGGCTGGCCATGATGGCTCATGCCTGTAATCCCAGCACTTTGGTAGGTCAAGGCGGGAGAACTGCTTGAGGCCAGGAGTTCAAGACCAGCCTAAGCAACATATTGAAACGTCATCTCTCCAAAAAAAATTAGCTGGGCTTGGTGGTGCACACCTATGGTCCCAGCTACTTGGGAGTCTGAGGTGGGAAGATCTCTTGAGTCTGGGAGTTAGAGGTTGCTGTGAGTCATGATCATACCACTGCTTTGCACCCTGGGTGACAGAGTAAGGCTATGTCTCAAAAAAAGTTTCTAAATATAAATATATTAGAAATATAAAAAATGTTTTGTTAAAGAGCATGATGTCCACATTCTGAGTGGGTTCAAGTGCTCAACCTGAAACACTCAGAAACATGTTTATAAAAATACCATTATAGGCCGGGCGCGGTGGCTCACGCCTGTAATCCCAGCACTTTGGGAGGCTGAGGTGGGTGGATCATGAGGTCAGGAGATCGAGACCACCCTGGCTAACATGGTGAAACCCCGTCTCTACTAAAAATACAAAAAATTAGCCGGGCGTAGTAGCAGGTGCCTGTAGTCCCAGCTACTTGGGAGGCTGAGGCAGGAGAATGGCGTGAACCCGGGAGGCGGAGCTTGCAGTGAGCCGAGATCGCGCCACTGCACTCCAGCCTGGGTGACAGAGCAAGACTCTGTCTCAAAAAATAAAAAATAAATAAATAAATAAATAAATAAATAAATAAATAAATAAATATCATTATATAGCCAGGTGTGGAGCTCAGGCCAGTAATTCCTGTACTTTGGGGAGCCGAAGGGGACGGATCACTTGAGCTCAGGAGTTTGAGACCAGTCTGGGCAACATGGTAAAACCCTGTCTCTACTAAAAAAATAAAAAAAATTAGCCAGGTGTGGTGGACTGCACCTGTAGTCCCAACTACTTGGGAGGCTGAGGTGGGAGAATCGCCTGAACCCAGGAGGTGGTTGCAGTGAGCTAAGATCACACCACTGCACTCCAGCCTGGATGACAGAGTGAGACCCTGTCTCAAAAAAAAAAAAAAAAAAAAAAAAAGAAAAAGAAAAAATTATACTTACCCTGATTATTTAATATTTAACAAATTATATTCAGAACTTAATAAAAGCCAGATACTGTGGTAGGTACCAGTTACAGATTTAATTTATTGTTCATAACCATCCCTGGAATTCTCCCATTTTAGCTATGGCTACCTCTAAGTAAGGAGAATCGCTTGAACCCAGGAGGCAGGGGTTGTAGTGAGCTAAGATAGTGTCACAGCACTCCAGCCTGGGAGACAGAGTGAGACTCTGTCTCAAATAAATAAATAAATAAATAAACAAAACAAAATACCTGTCTTAGTTTTTATTTAATATTAACCAGTCTACTTACTTAAAAAAAAAAAAAGTTTTAAAGATGGTTTACAGGAAGACATAAAAATAAGACCATTAAAACAAGGGTAAGAATATATGTATTATGTAATATGAAGTAGAGAAATAATTCATAAACTTAAGACTATAGATATTACAGTGCTTACTGAAATTGGATCTAAAGTTTAAACCAAAATCTTCCTGGTAGACAAAATTAAAAGTAAAATATGATGAGCTACTGATCTCATCTCACAAATTAAAAAATTAATTCTTTCAAAACTGGAATGTTTTTCTCTCTTTTGTAATGTTTACTGTCTCCACTGTTTTGCCATACATAGAAGGACAGCAGCATTATTCAGCCTCTACTAATGATCAGTGGATAGCAAGAAGACTTAATGATTTACTAGGCCTCAAGATAAAAATTAGAGAACATGCTTGCTATTTTCAGACTTTAAACAGGACACTCTGCCACAGTAAATTCAATGGAAATCAAAGTTTCCCTTTAGCCATTCATTGATAGTCCATACAAGGCCATAACAATTTCTCCACTGCTATCACAAGGTTAAGTGCTTCCCTTTGGTTTGGTTAGGATAACAAGAACTTCTCACATCCTAATAATAATAATGGCAATACATTAGATGCTACAGAGAAAGAAGGCTGATGCAGTTCCTGTCAAGCAGAACTGTAATCAATATGGTGAGTGTGAAAACTTTATTTAAATGAAATGATAAAGCATTCATCAACACCTGGGCAAAGAAAATCACCCTTTTCAGATATTCCTAACTGTCAAATCATCTCGTTGGTTTGGTCTGTTTTAGGTGAAAGCCAAAATGGTTAAGCTACATCCTATAATATTGTGTGTGTGTGTGTGTGTGTGTGTATATATATATATATATATATATATATATATATTTTTTTTTTTTTTTTTTTTTTTTTTTTTTGAGATGGGGTCTCACTCTGTCACCCAGGCTAGAGTGTAGTGGTGCAATAATAGCTAATGCAGCCCTCAAATTCCTGGGCTCAAGTGATCCTCCTTCCTCAGCCTCCCAAGTAGCTGGGACCACAGGCACACGCCACCATACCCAGCTAATTTTTAATGTTTTTGTAGAAAGAGGGTCTTACTATATTGCCCAGGCTAGTCTTGAACTCCTGGCCAAAAGCGATCCTCCCTCCTCCACCTCCCAAAGCATTGGGATTACAGGCATGAGCCACTGCACCTAGCTTGTATTATTGATTCTATTCCAAAGTTTCAAATACTCAAAAAAAAACCCCAAAAGTCACCTGCCCCATACTTAAAAACAGAGAAATTTTCAGAGAAAAATTATATATATGATATTGAGCAAGGGTTTTAAGAATTCCATTAATTAGTAACTTAAGAAAACAGGCACAAATTTGGTAATAGTAGAGGAAATGGCTATGACCCTGTTATGAAAAATAGCTGTCTTTAAAACCCTAAAAAATAGAAAAAGACAGAATGAGTAGAAAAATGCTTTTAATATTGATATTTTTAAATATAACATCCATTATTTATCAGTAAATATACTCATAACAATAATAATCAGGGCCCTGAAGAGAGGTAGCTTTATAGTCTTTACCATAGTTTCCAAGCTTATTAGAATTATAGAAAAAGCAGCTTAATTTGACTCTAATCACTTTTATAAATTATGTATAAAAGGACTGGCAAATTTGGATTAACTATGAGTGGTAGATAAAACTAATTTCTTATAATTTAGTAATTAGCAACACAGATATAAGAGAAGTATCTCCTAGCTTACCCAGAATTTGAAGGAAAATAGATGGTCTCAGTGGTAGAGCAACCTCTACACAGGTCATGGTCATCAGGATTCCAGGGGGTTCTGGGTTATGGAGCTCAACTATATTCTTCCTGACTTTAGTCAGTATCCAACTAATTATCCTAATTCTATTGTCTAAAAATAAGAAATCAGACCCTCACTTTAAGAGTTTGAAGATTTCTTATTTCTACTCTAAAACTGGGAAGAGGAGGGTGGCGGAGGGAGGGAGGGAGGTACACAGGGAGTGAAGGAGGGAGGAAGATAGATCACCTACATACAATATTTTGGGAGAAATTTTCTCAGACTCTGATTTGGATATACTCGAAGCCCAATTTGTTTGGGACTGTGTTCTCCTGAGAAGATCTGTAGAAAGATTAAACTACTACCAAGAATAAAATGCAAAGGTTGAAACCTAAAGATGGGTTGTGCTGATTACTTGAAATAAGGAGCAAAGGAAAAGAAGGCAATGCAATAATCCCTTCGTCTTTCCTAACTTGTGTGTAAATGGC